>NC_000006.12:1272121-1423636 GCF_000001405.40 Homo sapiens
AACTTGTACAGACCTTTATTTCTTGTCATTATTCACTGAACAATACAACAACTGTTTACCTAGCCTTTACATGTATTAGTTATTCTAAATAATCTAGAGATGATTTAAAGTACACAGGAGGGTGTTTCTAGGTTATATGCAAATACCATGCCATTTTATATCAGGGACTTGAGCATCCATGGATTTTGGCATCCAAACAGGTTCCTGGAACCAATCCCCCTGTAAGGAACATGGTTGTACTTTGGTCAAGGATAGGCAGAGATAAACATCCAGAATGACTCCACGAGTTTAGAGTGCAGGTGCATAATTCCACTTGCTATCACAGCCATGTAGCCATAACACGGGAAGGCTCATCATTTGACTCTAAGCCACTATTGCCTGTAAAAAGTATAATTGTCCTGCTGACACTGTACAGATGCTCACACCCAGAGAAAGGAAGAGGGCCAAAGCTGTCCATCTTGCAGACGGACAGGAGGGAGCCAGGACACAGCTCGGCTTGCTTGTGCCCAGAGAGAGAAAGAGTGAAGCTGCTGAACCCGAAGGCAGGGGAGAGCCAGCCACACAGTTGTGGGTGGGAGCCACTGGACTAAGCAGCCAAGACAGGGTGAACAGTGTAGGAAAGCTGCTGATGAGAGGACAAAGTAAAAGAGCTAATATAAGTAAGCTGTTTATGAGAGCTGCTGCTGAATAAAACCACATTGCACTTGCCTACAGCCCCCCAAGTGTTCTTTCAGCTATCTACTCATCGACTCACTCCCTCCGGACCTCAGCATGGGCTGAAACCTGACCCCAAGGGTGATATTTGGTGTAGTCATGGACCTGACACCCCACAGACACTGAAGGATGACTGTATATTATTATTGGGTTATTCCTTATATGTTCATCTTTGCAATTAGACTATGAACTGATCTAACGTGGAAATGGTTTCTCACTCATCTTTGTATCTTCCCCTGCCTCTGAGAACCAGGTATGTGCTCAAAACTGCCTGTGGGCATTGCAATAGCAAAGATATGGAATCAATATAGGTGTCCATCAATGGATGAGTGGATAAAGAAAATGTGGTGTATATACACAATGGAGTACTACTCAGTCATAAATGAGAATGAAATCCCATCATTTGCCACAACATGGAACTGGAGGTCATTAGTTAAGTGAAATAAACCAGGCACAGAAAGACAAATATTGCGTCCACCATTCATAAATGGGAGCTTAAAAAGTTGATCTCACAGAAGCAGAGAGTAGAATGATGGTTACCAGAGGCTGGGAATGGTGTGTAGGTGAGGGGTAGAAATGAAGAGAGGTTGGTGAATGGCTTCAAACACTCAGTTCCATAGAAGAACTAAATTCTGATTTTCAATAGCAGAGTAGGGTGTCTATAGTTAACAACAATGTATTGACTATTCCAGAATAGCTACAAGGCAGGACTTGAAGTGTTCCCAACACATAAATCCACAAGGTGATGGATTTCCTAAATACTCTGACTTGATCATTACACATTCTATGCATGTAACAAAATATCACAGGTACCCCGTAAATATGTACAAATATTATGTATCAAAATGGTTTTGTGAAACTGCCTGCAAGATGAAAAACTGAACTTGGCCTGTCTAAGGATGGCTACAGGTATTCAGTTCTGGTCCCTTTGACTGAGGCATTGGAGCAGCTGAGAGGATGTCTCAGGCCTCCTGTGGGTGGAACACCCCTGGGCTGGCTGGGCACTGTTCCCCAGGCCCAGAGGACAGCTGTGTAAGGGAGAGAGAGCCTCCCTTTGGGAGAGTCGGGAGGAGCCCTCCCCACCATATGGGCTGGGAGAGGAGCGATTCCATGTCCTGGAAGGCCTTCTATGTTATCTCCACCTATGGGAGTAAAATATCTGCCAACTAAATATTACATTTCTTTCCAAAAGTAGTTTGATATATTTTCCACAAAATCAGTTTGCATTTTGAAATTTTCTATCCTGACTCAAAGTACCGCCATGACCCAATTGCCCAAGCCAGTGTGGACTCCTCCCAGCCACCCCCATCTCAGCATCAGGCTGGCCTCAAAGCCTGAACTCCATGACCTCCTGAATTCCTCCCATATCTGTCACCTCCTCTGTGTCCCCGTCGGCACACCTCAGGACAGGCGTCCCTCATCACTTCCCGGAGTCACCACAGCCACCTCCACTTACCTCCTCATCACATTAAAGCTCCTTGAACTTAATCCAAAAGCTTCAGCTGGCCCCCATTTCACATCAAATGAAGTCCAAAACCAAGATCTGCCATTCAAAGGCCATAATCCACTCGCCTATCTCTCTCATTGTGTCTCCTGCCTTCCCCCAAGAGAAGCTTCCTCCAAGGTGCACCCGAAGAGAGAGCAGGCATTTGTCCAACAGGCTGTGTTTCTTCTCACCTCCTGTGCCTCGTTACGGTGCAGTGGTACAAGTGTGCGTCCAGACACCTAAGGAGGCCAAGCCACCCACGAGGTGTCAGCTTCAACATTTCCCCATGGGACCGTCCTTTCTAGGGAAAGCCCCCCTTGGGAGACCTCCGGCGATTTCTAAGACTTGAGAATTGTTTAGTGAGAGAAGAAGTTCTTGGAAATATTCATCACCAGAACATACATGTATCAAAATAAATTCTCCCATTAACAAACAAAGATACACTATCTCACATCATTAGGGTGCCTATTGTCAAAAATAAATAAATAAAAGACAGCAGAGAAATTAACAAGTGTGGGCAAGAATGTGAAGAAATTGAACCCCTGAGCAGTATCAGTGCGAATGTAACATGGTGCAGCTGCTATGGAAAACAGTGTGGTGGTGCCTCAAAAATTAAAAGTAGAATTATTACATGATCCAGCAATTTTGTTTCTAGCTACATTCACCCACAAGAATTGAAATCAGGGAATGAAAGAGCTACTTGTACACACATGTTCATAGCAGCATTATTGACAATAGCCAAAAGGTGGGAGCAACCCAAGTGTCCATCAGTGGACGCATGGATGATCAAAACGCGGTTCTCCCCATTCAATGGAATATGATTCAGCGGTAAAAGGGAAAGAAATCCTAACACACGCTACAATGTGGGTGAACCCGGAGGACATGGTACTAAGTGAAATAAGCCAATCACAGAAGGACAACTACTGTGTGATTCCACTCACATGAGGCTCCTAGAGTAGTTAAATGCATAGAGACAGGAAGCGGAATGGTGGTTTCCAGGGGCTGGGGGTCTGGAGAATGGGAAGTGCTGTTGAAAGAGCACAGAGTTGCCACTTGGGAAGATGCAAAAGTTCTGGAGACGGGTGTTGGAGATGGTTGCCTAATGATGGGAATGCTCTTAATGCCATTCACCTGTACACTTAAAATAGTTAAGATGGTCCATTTTGTGTTATGTATATTTGACCACAGTTTTTTAAAGAGTTATTCAAGAGACAGAATCAGAAGCATTTGGGGCTAAATAGGATTGAGAGAATTCCCCCATGCGGGGTTTTCACACTACATTCCTTTGCAGGCTTTTCCCACTTGTCCTCTCATATTTTTTAGTGCAACCATTAATGTCCATTTTCCTCATTATACTCTAAATTCTAGAAGGCTGGGACATGCCTGTCTTGCTGACTCTTACACCCAGTATCTGGTATACTGCCTGCCACTTATAGTATCATCCAGATGCCCCAGTAAGAGTTGGTGAAGTGGATCAGTTAAGCCATGGGGAGAAAACATTTGAAGAAGGAGTGAGCGACCCCAGACCACCAAGCTCTCTGAAAAGCTAAGTAATATTATTTGGCCTAAAAAATATCCACTGGTTTAGAAACAAGTAGACAGCTTTTAAAAGTTAAGGGAGTCTTAGAACAATAATCTTGGTCATGAAAGCGAGAAGGAGAGAGTGGAAGGTCCAGGGAAAAGAGGCCTCAGTAGTGCAGTGGGTGAGTGGGTGACAGGTCTGAGAAGAGCAGTGTGATACATTTTCTTTAAAATTTCAAAGGTAGAACAATTCCAGGTAAGGACAAGGACTTGCAATGGCCCCAGAAAATGGTAGCTTGAGTGGGGCAGAGGGGACAATTACTATTACGGAGGATGTCAAGGAACCAACAGGCCAAGATTTGGGTGGGTCACTCAGCGGGACACTGACGTCACTCAAGGTGATTACAGGAAGACTGCAAGTCAGGTGTTAATATGATCAGAGAAAACCCCAGGGAAAATATCTGCTGAGGAACAACATAGTAATTCAGAGCCCTACATCACAAAGAACAGTGAAATCCAATACAGCAGCCACTAGACAGATGGGCTATTTAGATTTAAACTTGAGCCAGGCATGGTGCTGTGCATCTGAGTCCCAGATACTTGAGAGGCTGAGACAGGAGGATTGGTTGAGCCCAGGAATTCAAGACCAGCTTGTGCAATATGGCAAGAACTCATCTCAAAAATAATAATAAATTCGAACTAATCATCTATCATTAAATGAAATTAAGAAGGGTCAGTTGTCTACCTACATTTCAAGTGCCAAGAGCCACCTATGTCTTGCAGCTACCATATTGGACAGCCCAGGTCTAGAACATTCTGTAACTGCAGGAGATCCTACTGGACAACACCACTTTCGATGTACCTGGAGGGAGGAGCAAGAAGCTGTTCCAGGCTTTTCCTCGGTGGTGCCTCCTCCTATCTACCCCTCTTCAAGGCAGGCTTGTAAAGAGTTCATCAAAAGAAGATTTCCTGAGAAGCCCCTTTCTGGGGAAGGAGGGCGTGACCACAGCAGGCCAGGGACAAAGGGATTCTGTTTGAGAAACTCCTCCAAGATAAGGCGCCACTACATAAAATGATTCAGAAAGTCCAAGGGCTCTAGACCTACTCTGGAATGAAGTGGGAACCTGGAGGGACTGGCTCATCAACTGACCCTCGATGAAATAATCTGTACAACAAACCCCCATGACACAAGTGTACCTATGTAACAAACCTGCACACGTACCCCTGAACTTAAAAGTTAAAATAAAGAAATAAATACATAATTTTTTTAAATGGTGGTTTGAAGCTCTGTGAATAACGTAGAGAAACTTCATCGGGTTGTACTCTTCTGGTTTTTAAGAAATATTTTGGAAATTGTCTGCTGATGTTCAATATTGTTCTTTATAGAAAAATATATATCTGTTAGCATGTGAGTATGTGTATATACACATAAATACACATATTATGATGTAAACAAGGTCATTAATAACACATTTATCCAACCTTAAAAATAAAAAAAGAAAAGAAAGCTAAGACCCAACATGAGAGTATTAAGTGGTAGAGCTTTTAGGAGATGATTAGGCCATAAGGTCTCTGCCCTCATGAATGGGGTTAGACCCTTATAAATGCACTCAAGGGAACTACCAAACTACCTAGGTTCAATTTGCCTTTCTGCCTTCTGCCATGTGAGGACACAGCAAGAAGGCACCATTTCAGAAGCAGAGAGCGGCTCTCGCCAGGCATCAAATCTGCTGGTGCCTGGATCCTGGACTTCCCAAGTATCCAGAACTATGAGAAAATAAAATTTCTGCTTTTTATAAAACAAACAGGCAAACAAAAAACAACTGATCCTCAGTAGCTTAGGGTGGAGGAGGTGGTGACTGTTAAACCTGGCAGTTCTCAATGCTGGCTGCACGTGAGAATCCTTTAGGGGTGTCCACACTCCCTCCCAGATCAAGGGGATCTGAGTCCTGGAGGCAGGGCCCAGGCGTTGACTGTGTGTTAGAGCACCTGATGATTCAAATGTGTAATCTGGATTGAGAACTCAGTTTAGTCCAACAAGACATGACTCCTGTTTTGGTCTTCTTTCCCTTCCATTTTTCTCCACAGGCATATACTGGTAACAAAAATGAGTAGAAAATCAGAATTCCTCTCTCCTAATTGGATATAAATCCTTGGTCAAGTATATTAATACAAAATTGGTGCTGTTGATGATTTTTAAATTGCTCTTAAAACATTTGGTGGACATTTCTTTAGCAATTTTCTCCTAGAAGCACTTGCTCTCCAGGTGGAGAGGATTCATACATCCTCTCTGTCTCCACTCCCCACTCTGCCTTGCAGCCACTCTGCTCTGGAAAGCACGGCTACTGTGTTTGTGTCGTTTCTGTAGACTTGTACAGTTTGCATGCATGGTTGACTCCATCACCAAAATTTACCTTCGAGCATTTGGCAGGATCTACTCATGCTGAAAAAGTAAATAAAAAGTAGTTTGTTCTCTCTCTGCTTATGGAAACTATTTTAAGAATAACTGAATTGTGTACACATCAAAAAAACTACCTTCTGCCACAATACTGGGCTGACCAGCAGTCAGTTGGAGAGCTATAGAATTTTGTGACTTGAAGAGACCTTGAACACATATGCCAATGACCTCATCACACAGATGGAGCGCAGGGGCCTGAGGGGCTTGCCCAAGGGGAACTGATTAATGCTAGAGCTGAGACCTGAGCAGTTTCCCACCTCCCAGCCCTGACCTGCCACAGTGGAGGAGGAGGGCACTACCGAATTACTGAGGAAAACAAGGGTTTGCACTGTTCTTCATGCAATTTAATTTTAAAGTTGAAACTGTAAAGTTTTGCACTGAGCCACTTAAATGCTCTCCTACCCAGATCCTTTTAATGCAAATGGCAACTACCATTCTTTGCCATCCTCCTCCGAGAGCATTACTATTATTGCCTCCATTCTGCAGGTTAGCTAACGGAGGCTTACAGACATGTCAACGTGCCCAAGTCACCCAGCTTGCAAGTGGCAGAGCTGATATTTGAGCCTTGATCTACCGAGTTTGAACCCAAGCTCCACAACTAGCAAGATACACTGCCCAAAACTCTATGCTAGAATGTTACCTCCCAGAGCATTACTAGGATATTCCTAGAGTAATTCTAGAACATTCACCTCAATCCTTTTGTTCAGAGTTCCCTACTCTACCATAGGTCTGAAAAAGCTCCTTAAAATGCTTCAATGTATAATTTACAAGCCCCCTCACCCTACCCCCAATGGAGGGTAAGGACCCTCCATTTCCTGGTCCTTGTAACTACACCCTGTAACCCTGTTCCATATTTAATGAAACTATTTAAGTAATCAAATTTGATCAGCACCCACAGAAGGACCCACTGTCCTGACCCAACACCAGCCTGCCTAGACAGCCCGTTAGTTAGGATGACGGCATGTCCACATAGACAAACACCATCCACATACCCAGGCCTCTTCTTGCTGTGAGGACTAAACTCTCACAGTGACCCGGTGCTTCACAGAATTAATCCCTTTCACTGTGAGGCTTGCTAAGCAAAATAAGCCTCCAGTTTCTGTCTGCCGGGAACTTACCACAACAATTAATTTGGAGACATTTCCCTCTCTCTTGACTTATTCCTCATGTTCCACTCTAAATTTAACCAGCAGACTCACTGGTTGTATTTTGACAGAACTGGTTGAGCACAGCTCCAGAAGCATGAAGGTTATTCATTTTAATCATTACATGGTTGCTCTTAACATAAGACAGATATTGCACTGAACACGTTCATTACCAAAAAGAAACCTGATCCTTCAACAACAGATCAACAGACTTGCTGAATATAGTTCCTCCATAGCTGTAGGACTCCTCTTTTCTCAGAATCCCTTGTGACTAAATAATATGTTTTGGCTTTAAGCATGTTCCCAAATGACTTCGTATTTCAAGTTATAATGATGCAGAGTGAATCACGAAGTAGTTAGGCTACTTCGAGTAGATCAATCTCGTAACACTTTTCATTCATTTATTCATTCAAAAATCTTTCATGGAGTCAGACCCTGTGTGGCTCACACACACACATACAGAACTGTGTATTCACACATACTCTCTCACAGACACAAAGTGCTCAGTTTATCCTTAAAGAGGTCACTGTCCAGTAAGGAAAGCAGGCAAATATCTGCTATTACAGTGTAATAAGCACATACGCCAGCACGAGTCCTATGGAAGTGCAGAGGAGAGACACTGAACCCAACCTAGAAGAAGTTTCCCAAGGAGGGTGCACAGGACTGAACGTGTGTGTTTCCCTACAATTCTTCTGTTGAAATCCTCACCCCTAATGTGGTGGTATTAGGAGGTGGGGCCTTCTAAGGTAATATGAATGGGATTAGCGCCCTTATAAAAAGGACCTACAGAGCTCTGTTGCCCTCCTTCTACCATGTGAGGAGGCACAAAGTCAGTCGTCTGCAACTCCATAGGGCCCCTCACCAGCACTCACCCTGCTGGCACCCTGGTCTCGGCTTGCAGCCTCCAGAGCTGTGAGAAATCATGCCAGTCGTTTATAAGCTATCTGGCCTTTGGTACTTTGCTAAAGCAGCTAAGGCAGGAGAAGACATCTGCATTGTACCTCTTACAGCTAACACAAGGAAGAAAATTCACTCTAAATTAATTGAATGAATGGATAAATGAATGAATGGATCCACAGAGGACTGATGTGAAAGGTATGCTAACAATGGAAATAACTATACGAGGGTTTTCCCAAGGCAGGTCAAAAAGAAGCAAAGGTGGACACTAGGAAGAGTGGTCAGGATACATGTCAGTCAATAATGCACCATTGCTGGAGGGAGGAGGGCCCCACGCGAGCTGGACTCCGCTTTGATTTGTGCAGAGAGGACGGGGTGTTTAAAGGGGGAATGAGGGAGGAGGGAGAGGGGTGAGTGGGGGCCCAGTATAGTCAGAGAAGTTAACATTTCCAGAAAGCAGGAAGGGGACATGGTCTGTGTGAACCCATCTGGGTTTGCTGACTGAGCTTATGAAGTCAGGCTCCCACCACCCGCAGAGGCTGGGAGTCAGAGCCCGTGTCTTCCACTTGTTGGCTGGAACAAACAGTAGATTCTTTTAGCAGCCTTGAGTTTTCTCAGGCAGGCACTGTAAGGGGCTAGGGTCATTCCAGGGATGTGGCCTTAAGCTGATAGAGGTCATGCTAGTGTTTGTTCAAGTCTTTATGGATCAAGAGTCTGGCTGGAGTCTGGTCAAGGAGGGACTCTTTGTTAGGCGCTAAGAGACTGTGGGGGCCCCCATCTAGGCTCTGCAGAACCCCAAGAGGGCCCTCCAGGGGAGAACTGCTGGAACCCGGACCAGGGGGAGTTGTCCAGGAGTGGAACCATCTGCCTAGCAGCATGGGAGAGCATGGTGAGTTCTGGAAATATTTGATTTTTCTAAAGCAGGGAATGAGTTGGGGAGAGGGGCTGAGGGGGAGGCTGGATGTGTCTCTGAAGCCACAGAACATGAACAGCCAGCAGTGGATTTGGGGATCTTTCCTGGAGGTGATGGGGAGCCAGGGAAGCAAGATGGCTGTGATCAGCAGGTGGCTGAGGATGAGAGGTCTGCAGTCTGAGGCTGTGGCAATAATTCCTGGAGAAATGATGAGGCTCTCAAGGAGGCCTGCTGCTGGGGGTCCAGGAGGACTGGGTTGGATTTTTAAAGTACATATTTAAAGGACTGTTAGCTTGGGTGGGAATGGGAGGCATGAGTGTGAGATGACGCCCAGTTTCCTGGCTGGGTTGTCTGGATGGGTGGAGGGCATCGTGGAGAGAGGAAAGCTGGGAGAAGCCAGGCTGGGGGATAATGAGGTCAGTCTGGACCTGCAGCTCTCACTGGAACATCCCACTTGTGTAGGCTGTGGGCTGCGCAGTCCCAGGAGAGGGCTGGAAGCTGAAAATCCCTCCACATGCATTTTTCACACCCCAGAAGGTATTCACCTCCAAATCATGCCGGCTGAGAAAACTGCCTTGAGCCTGCGGAGAATTTAAAACTGCCAGTAAAGACAATGTGACTGCAGACTTCCTGACCATTGTACTATCCTCCTTACCTCTGTCTCAGCCACAGCCCACCGTCACCTCAGAAATTACCGGTTTCCTGTGATTGCCCTCATGATGCTGATATCGATCTCCCTGTTGTCTCTCACACTTTTAGTTATCAGGGACAAACTTAAAACCCTAGTCCTCGAGGGCAGTGACATGAGGGCTATTTTCACTGGGGAAGGACTGGTGGTGAGGAGTGGTTGGGAAACAGCGAGCAGAGAACGGCAGCATGTCTGTGACATTCCATCAGGAGCGCCTGGAGCTGCACAGCAGATGAAACAGGCAATGATGGGTGCTTCTGTGATGGCCCCCACGCCCACCGCCGACCAGCAGAAGCCTGCCCTTCTGCAGAAGGCTTCCAGCTCACTGCCCCATCTTTGCTCCCAAGTCACTAGGTGTAAAAATGGACATTTCTTGAACAACTACGTCTTGCCAAGCTCTGGGCTGAATGCTTCATATACATCATTCCACTCAATTATATAATTATAAAATACATACATATATGCATTATATTGCATAATTATAATTGTTATATATACGTTATGAACATGTAATGTATTATATACATCACCTCACCCAATTCTGATATATAATTAAACTTAGTATATATACAATATGTCTATAATGTATTATATATATCACCCCATCCAATTCTCATGTGTAATTAAAATTAGATTTTATATACATTATATATATGTATATAATGTATTATATATTACCCCACCCAATGCTGCCCAAAACCCTTAGGTGGATGAGAACATGGCGGCTTCCAGTAACTGGCCAGTACCACACAGCAGATCCAAGTTCAGAGTAATCTAAGGCCTTTGGACCACCACAGTAGGCCACTTCACCAAATGTTGTCTCCCTGGGTCCTCTTCCTCTCTCTCACCAGATTCATCACTCCTACCCTTGGCGTTGGTCAGAGCCACAGAGCAGCAAAGGCTGCACCCACCCACCTGGGCAGCCATTACCGTGTTTGGCTCTGTGGCCTGGAGTCCAGGCTCCGGGCGTCTGCCCTCCCAGGGCTTCACATGACGCCCTCCAGGCACCACTTCTGGCTGGGGACAATCAAATCCCGGGAACTGTGTGGCAGAAACTGCGGCTGGCTCCCGAGTGTCAATTTAGAACCCCCAGTTCTTCATCATCCCGGTCCTGTATAAAGACTACATTTCTTAGCCTCCTTCGGCCTGGGTGTGGCCATGTGACTAAATTCTGGCCAATGGGGTTCAAGCAGAAGTGATACACGCAAATCCCAGAAACTACTGCATACGAAGAAGGGAGTCGACCCTTTCTTACCCCTTCCTCCATCCTGCTGGATGGAGTGTGGAAGCCATGGCTGGAGCTCAAGCAGCCCGAGCCTGGGTCTTTGGGGAACAGCCATAGCAGGCTGGACTGCCCGCTTTGCAACCTCTTATGGGGTGCATCAAACACCTTGTGTTTGAGCCACTGTTCATTCAGGTTTTCTGGCAGTAATCTTATTCCTACCTGATACAGGCAATGATGGTGTGTGGAAGCTATTGCTATTTATCCTATTTTCTCTAAATTAAACATTTTTCACCTGCTGAGTGACTCATGCTGACTCTCTTAGAACAGAAAAAGCTGCCCATGCATTAGGGGACATTTATATTCCTTGTCACACTGCATTTTGTTATACCATGGGGGGATGACAAGAATAGAACACAGCACATTTTGCAGCTGAATAAGCAAACTGTCCAATCCCAATCATTTGTGCTCTTATTTCTCATGGACTATTTATGACTTTTGTTCTGCATCATTAAACATTAACCAAAACTCAACTTATCTTCCGGCCCACAAAAGATCCAGAACGCTTTATCAGTGACCAGTCTCCCCATTGAGGCCATAAAAACCTTCCTCTCTCAGACACTTTGCCTCAAATGACAAGCCTCTTGTAGTGATCTAGAATCTTCTTTTATTCAGCGCACTGACTCTATCTGTCTACTTTTTCTTTCCTGTTGACTGTTCCCAAAGCAGACCAGAAGAGAGGCAGTATTCTGGGAAGGCACAGGTAGACAGACCCTTCGCTTACCCTCACGGCTGTTACACAACTATTCCCAAGTTGTCCTTCTCTGACTATGGTGTGCTAACTTTTTAATTCATGTATAATTCTGGTGGCTGGTCCTTTATATAAACTGGGAGTTGATAGTTTTGCAAATGCCCTTTGGTATTAATTGACTATTTACTATGTGTTCCAAACTATTCCTTAGAAGACATGGAAGAAAACTACAAAGGATCCTTCTCGCAAGTCCCCAGACAATAGCCAGGTGGGTTTCTTTATGATTTTATGAAAAGCACATTATTTTTAGTTTAAAATATGGATTTTTGCTGTATACTGGACTGGAAATCAGGGCCAGAAATTATAAATCTGTTTAAATGTAAATTAACAGGTAATAATAGTAATGGTCTGTACAACCATCATTGTACCTTATTCACCCATTGCAAGAGAAAATACAGCTGTAGGTGAACAGTTTGACAGTTGTGTTGAAACAGCCCAGATTTACTGTAAGTTTTCCATGAGCAAAACTACAATGTTTATATCAAGCTGTAGTCTTTCTGAAAGTAGATATCCAAGCAGTCCAGTAACATGAAGAGACAGAGTTTAATTTCAACTCTACCAGTTTAGTCAAGCAACTTAAACTGCTTTCTTTCTGAATGCTCTCATAGCAGCAATGGGTTAGTAATGCTCACGTGTGGGGCTGCCTAAGGCATGAAGTAGGCCAGCATCTCTGGGGATGCCTAGCACAGTGCTCAACAGGTAGAGCCTTCTCTATAAATATTGATGAACTCTGAGCCCAGACCTATAGTTTCATATGAATAAATAGGTACTGAGAAAATGCAACATTCATGGTTAGCCACATGCTCTAAAAATTTAAAAATCTAAATTAAGAAATACATCCTGACACTGAATGCAGGTTAATTAATGTAGCTCATGGATAGAATTTCAAAATGAAGGTAGCAGCCAATAATAATGATAGTAATGACAATAAATATTATTCAGCACCACTATGCATCAAATATTGTGCCGGACATTTAATCCTCACAGTGACTTTATGGGAAGGTATTATCACCCCCATTTTACAGATATGGATGCAGATCTAGAACAAGTGGTGGCTGCAACAAGAGATGAGGGAAAAGCTGGGGCCCTTAGGTCTAGGAGGCAGTGAGACCCAGCTCAGCCCCAGGTAGGCTTCCTGTAAGTGGCCCTTCCCCCAG
The DNA here is from genome assembly GCF_000001405.40 of Homo sapiens. NCBI lineage: Eukaryota > Metazoa > Chordata > Mammalia > Primates > Hominidae > Homo > Homo sapiens. The sequence continues at coordinate 1,285,134 of NC_000006.12, forward strand.
TGCAAGTGCAGCTGAGTCCTTCCTTCCTCTAATCAGGCGTCAGCATATTATAAATGGCATGAGAGAAGAGGAAAACTTGCAAGGTATTTAGGAAAGAGTACGGAACTGAAGAGGGCCAATTGCGTGAAGCCAAAAGCAAACAGATAGATGCACTCAATAATCTGGAGAAGTGAGTTGGCAAGGAAGCATTTCTCCTTGTGAATTCATTTACTGGCACCATTTTCTCTAAATTTTGGCCTTTAGGATTCTCCAGGTCAACACCCTCTTCCAGGCTTCAAGCAAGTCATTGGCTTCAGCATCTGTGAAACCCAAGGAATGTTATGTAATTGTCTCATTCTCGTGCATATGTATGTTCTTCTAAGGAGAAGGCTCCCAGTGTTCATCAGATTCCAAAGTAATCTATGAGCTGAAAAGGGTAGAAGCCCTGCTCCAGACTGCCTCCGCTGAGAGCCAGGCATTGCTCTGCAGGGATGAAGCTCCACTTGGATCCTGCCCATGGCCAGCTGAAGCCCCTTCTGCCTCTTGGAAGTCCTGGAGCCACTTATTTTAAGAACATGGCCTGTAGTGTGGATCTTCAACTGCTGATTGCAATGGATTCAACGTCCCTTGACCGGGCAGTGTGCCAGGGAAGCTGCATTTCCTCCGCAAAGGCTGGCAGAAAAACTTAGGCCCCAACTTAACAGAAAACACGAAGGAGCCAGAGTCAGCTTTCCTTTTACAGTCAGAGGCTCCCCACACTGGTGGTGAATCCTCAGCACAGGCGAAAAACAGGAAGGGATAAAAATGAAGGAAGTCTCTTGGCCAGTGGTCTTGAAGTGTTCCTTCCACACGGGTCCACTTCAGCCTGCCTGTGGGCATCCTCTCCTTTCTGCAGTGGTTACTTGCAGTGCATCTCAGCCTTTCTACTGGAGTTCCATTCTCCACTTAGGGCCAAGCAGCCTGTCTAACCCACGGTGCACACAGGAATGCAAAATATCCCCTGCTGTGTGCTGATGCCTCATGCAGCAGGAAGCAGTCCCAAGGTGTCCTGAAATTAACTTACCAAGTCGCATGCAGCATTTCCTTCCTTTTATTTTCGTTTGGAAAGAGACTGGAATGGAATGGAATAGACAGACTAGACTAGAACATATCTGAGTCATTGTGTGGTAATGACTTCTTGAAACTTTTGTTTCAGTGTGTGTGGTGGGGTAAGGGGGGATCACAATTTAAAATGTTGCCTCTCAGTCAGAAAACAACTTGGAAGGATGAATCTCAGGCCATCCACGGAGCTTGCACATGATGTCCAGGGCCTTCTGAAGGGCTGTGAAGTTGCAGGGTAAACAACAACAAAAGCAGCGGGACAGAGGGCCTTGATTCAGGTCCAGGAGGTGCTGGGTCCTCAGTCAAGTCCCACCGTCCCTTTGAGCCTTTCTTCTCATCTGTAAAATGAGGATAATCAGTCTCACTTCGCCTGCCTTGAAGGGTTGTTGTGCGGCTCAAACGGAACAGTGTTTGCTAAATGTGGTGCACATCATAGGACAAGGCTTATGTAAGGCATTTTGGAATTTTTATTTATAGTGGGAAGTTCAAACCAGGAAAAGAAGAGATGGATAATAGCGTTGTTCAGGGTAGGTTGCACAGGGTGCTATGGTTTGAATGTGTCCCCCAGAAATCATGAGTTGGAAACTTAACCCACAATGCAATGGTGGTGGGAGGTCGGGCCTAATGGGAGGAGTTGCATCACGACAGCTCCACCCTCATGAATGGATCCATGCCATTATAAAAAAGCCAGACCCTGCGAGTTCACCCTCTTGCTCTCTCTCACCTTCTCTTTGCCATTTTGCCGTGGAATGAAGCAGCAAGAAGGCCCTCGTCAGATGCCAGCCCCTCAGTCTTGGACTTCTCAGCCTCCAAAACTGTGAGAAGTAAATTTCCTTTCTTTATAAATTACTTAGTCTGTGTATTCTGTTATAGCAACACAAAACAGATTAAGACAGAGAGTGTCAAAGATCCCTCAAGTCACCCCACGTGGCAGTCTCGGCAGTCTCCCAGTTCTCCTGCATGTCCAGCCAGATGAGACTATCCAGGTAATGCCTCAGGAATCCTCCTACCGCAGTGATTCTAAGCAACACAAGCAAAGGAAGTTTCAAGTTTGTTTTGTTTTTAAGTGTTCTTGACCCTAGGGCTGGTATTTGATAGCACCTGAATGTCTAGGGCTGACCAGTTCTTTCTGGCTCACTCCACCCCTGCAGAGCCGTAGGAAACCCATGCAACTTCCTCATTGCCCATGAGGCAAGGCAAGTGGTAGCGCACGCCTCTTATGGAGTGAACACTACTGTTCTTTCTACTTCATGGGAAGGTCTTGCAAAACATTGGTTCTGTCTTCTTGCATGAATCATAGACTAAAGAATGAAGAAACACTTCTGAGTAACAAACAAGGAAGAAAGAAAAGGAAGCAAGCTGTGGTGATGCGTTCTTGGAACATAACTCCAAGTCAGTTCATAGGAGCGAAATCAACGTGTAGATCTTTGTGTAAGGTTTTGCTGCTAAAGGACAAAAAAAAAAAAACTTTCCTTTTCCTTTTTTTTCTGAGTAAAAAGATAACAGACACTCATAAAAATCAAATAACGAAATTAGATCCCAAGAAGAGGACAATGTAAGCAATTTAAAGCACATTTTCCCAAACTTGTGTCTTTTACTAAACTAAAAGATTGATACACATACATGGGCACAGTATAGATGTCATTTTCCACTCCATGTTTTCTTACCCATCCACATGACGGAGAGCTTTATCCATGATGGTGGATGAAAATCTAGAACACTGCTATTAGTAGTAGCATTCTGTCATAAAAATGAAGCAGGACTTATTAGTCAATCTCACTGAAGGATGTTTAAGTTGCTTCTGAATTTTTGTTTCTATAAAAAAAAATGCCAGGATAAACATTCTTATATATTCATTATTGTGCATTTGTTCAGTTATCTCCCAGGAATAAGTTTCTGAGAGAAGAATGACTGGGTCAAAAACTATCAGAATGTTCAACGTTAATGTATATTGCCAAATTGCCCTGCAGAAATGGGGCATCAGGTCCTACCATCCCAGAATTGCACAAGAGAACCCATCTCTCCACATCTAACCAACAGTGGTTACTGTCAATCTTTTCACCTGTTTTCCAATCTGATAAGTAACAAATAATATGTATTTGTTGTTTTAATTGCATTTCTTTGATTTCAGTGAGATGTTAAATTACTAATTGTTATCAATGCAAATATACTACTAGCAGTGACAATTGCTAATCTGCACTGAAAAATTTCTCTGCACCAGGCACTTTACTAAGCCCTTTACAGAATTATTTTCTTTTATCCTCACAATAACCCCTCAAGGCAGGGAAAATAAGTATCCCTATTTTACAGATAAAAACAAAGGCTTAGAGAGGTTACTTTGCTGAAGGTCATGGAGCTAGTAAATAGTGAATCCAGAACTCAGTCCAGGTAGATCTACCCCCAAAGCCCACACTGGGTAGCAAGCATTATCCTTCCATTTATTTCCATACACACACTCACTAATTCTGTGTTTCCTCTACGTATGTTTCCACAGGCGAGTTTTATGTCTTTATGACCTTTGCTCATTTTTTTTCAATTGGAGTGCTTATGTTTTTCTTATTAATTAGCAATAACTTTTGGCTATTAAGAATATTAATTGCCATTTTTAAATCTACTTTTTTCTCTATGAAATGTAATTATATACAATTTACAACTTTCACTTCTGTTTGTGATTAGTGCAATGATGTGAGTAATGACTTCAATAAGCCCTGAAGCCTGATGTCGTACTCCTCAGGTATAGGTGAGCGCAAGAAGCTTAGCCAAGCAGATGGGGTTAGATTTTGCTGGTAGCGCAGCCATGGACATTAAGAGGGTTGGATAAAAGTGCACACAGCAACAGGAATGGGGGATGAAGTGACAGAGAAAGCTAGCAGACAGGGTCGCACAGTTGCAATTTCCCCTTCGTGAGCCTCTATAGGAAAGGGGTCTCTTTTTCAGTTTTTCTCACCTTGCGGGACTTTTTCTGACACTTTCCCTTACTTCTGCCACCATATCCCAAGAACAGGAGTTTTGTCACACAGTACAGTTTTAGGGCTTCAAAATCTCTTCTTTTCATTCCAAAATTTGAATTAATCCTTTATCAAAGCAAAGATTAAGCTTTGACCACAGACCATCTTCCCTAAAGCAGGACAGGTGCCAAGGGGGACATGGGGGATTGGGGCCCAGCTTGGGTCCCACCAGGCACTGACTGGCAGTGTGACCATAAGGAAGTTGTTTTTCCATCCCCTGGCATTGGTTTTCTCACTAGTAGAATGGGGATGATACAGCCATGTCACAGATGGCTTTGAAATTATATAAGAAAACGTTTACCAAGCACCAATGCCTGTGTGACCCTGAGTGTTTAGAAGCTGGGCCTCTGCCGCCACCGGTGTCTTTAGAGATGGGGACATCCAAGTCCTCTAGGGCTTTCACTGGAGAAATGCGAAACACTGCTAGGACTCAGCTACCCTGCTACTAAACTAGCACTTCAGTTGACGTTTCTCCAAGATTGTCCCAAGAGACACTTCCAGAGCTAAACGGCAGGACAGCAAGACATTTCCTCGCTCCAGTTGCCCTCTTCTCCTCTGTGTGGGCACCAAAGCCCTTCACCTGCTGCCTCATCCTAGAATCCACAATTCCTTGCCTCAGTGACTATTGTTGAAATATCTGTCGTCCCCAAACCCTCTATCTTTGGCTTGGATTACACAGGATATAGTTATACTACAGAGTTATAGTATAAATGAAGCAATACCAGGATTCATTCAGAGAAGATTCCCCAGAACATCAGAACTCATTGGAAGTAATAGATGAGAAAGGCAATCCTCCTAATTTCCTACAAAGACCAAAACAATCCCTCCTTTGCTGATGCCGGCTAGTTAGTTCCCAGCCATCCCTCTCCACCCCCAGCACGCCCCTCCTTTGGCCTTGGGGTGGGTTTATTGTCATAGCACCCTTCGTTTGCAGAGCAATGTAGATGTAGAGGAAATGGAGTTATGTGCATGGAGCCCCACTCTTTGCCAAGCACTGTAAACACACCTCATCCTCACAGCAGCCCAATGAGATCCCTATCATCACCTACTTAACAAAAAAGGAAGCCAAGATCCAGAAGTCTGAACAGTTCCCAAAGCCACATAACTGGCCAATGACCAAAGTGCAACTCCTACCCAGCTGCATGTGCCTCCAACGCCCCTCGTCGCCCCGCCATGCACTCATCCTTACAAAGCACTTTCACATGTGTTTTCTTCTTAGTCTGCCCCCAAATCCTTCAAAGTAGCACAGCTCCCTTCCCACTGTCTCCATTTATTGATGTGGGGCTGAAAGAAGCTGCAGAATGGATTCTTATCCTCACTGAGTGGCATGTGGTGCCTCTGGAGCCAGGACCCCAGGCATGGGCCTGCACCCCACCCAGGTAGCCTCCTACAGCCAGGCCTGGGATGGAGAGCAGCCACCTGAGAGCTCCAAAGTCCTCCACTGAAGGAAGACAAAAATATTTACCTTGTTTCTGTGATCAAAAATATTCTACTTAGAAATACTTCTGGATATTTCAACAAGATCTAAGTCCACATTGACCAACTCACTGGGGAATCCTGACTTCAGGGGCCCTGGACCCCCAACCCTCCTCCCCAAGAGGATCACTTAGCTTCAGCAAGAAGGTGCTGCTGTATAGGCCTTCAGCCCCAGCTGGAGGTCATCTCCACAGCTCCTTTTACTTGTAAAAGTTTATCAGTACAACCAGCCCCTGAGGGCCACAGAATTAGAGGTAAAACCAAGCATAGCTCTGAAGGAGGAAGTATCGAACTGCAGCCAAAACAAATGTTGCCTGAGACGAGGGATTAGAATAAAACTACAAGAAGAGCTGGCACAATAAACACACTTACGCTGCATTATTCAAGGGCATGAGGTATGAAGGGCAGCTCACCTTGGAGAATGCAATCGTCTGGTCAGCTTGCAGCCATTTTAAGCTGCATTCAGTGAGGTGTCATTAAGGCTTTGGAACATTCTCACTGGTATCATAGACTTTTTGAACTCAAAAGGATCTTTGAGACAATCCATTCCCATCCTCATATCTAACAGTTGATGGAACTAGTGTCCAAATAAGTTCAATGACTTACTCAAAGTTATTTAGCTGGTCAGTAACAGAAAAGTGACCAGAAGTCAGGTGCAGAGCTTCAATAACATCAACACAGATTGCCAAGCCCTCAAAGACACTGTTTATGTGCACATACACAGGCACATGTATACACGTGCATATGTGCACACAGACACATACATATGTGATGCAAATGTAAGCACACATGCACATACATACATGCGCACGCATATACTCACATACATACATGCGCACACATATACTCACATACATACATGCACACACATATACTCACATACATACATGCGCACACATGCACATGCATACATGCGCACACATATACTCACATACATACATGTGCACACATACTCACATACATACATGCGCACACATATACTCACATACATACATGCGCACACACATACATGCACACACATGCACATACATACATGCGCACACATATACTCACATACATACATGCGCACACATATACTCACATACACACTTCACTCAGACTCTACACATCATGTTTTTATCAAGCCTTTCTGGGCATCCAAGCAGGATATAACTTGGGTAACGTGGCTGAGCATGCAGCTGACTGAGAGGCACACTGCACCGGGAGGGACCTTGCTTACCATTAGCTTTATATTTATACCTGTTGTTCCTTGACAGCCAGGCCAATAACAGCACCGACCTAGTGGACTGTACTAGGTTTCCCAAACGACTGTGTGGGAAAATGTTGACCAAGGGCTCTGAATGGTGCCTGGTGCCTAACAGATCCTCATTCATGTCCTAGATGGGGCTGTGTCATTTCTTACAAGGCAGGAAACAAATGCAGTGTAAGGAGCAGGGCTTCTGTGGTCAGACCACCCTGGACCGGGACCCCTATTCTGCTCTTAACTCTGGGCAGCTTGCCCACCCTTGCTTGGCTGTGGCACCCATGTATACATGAGTTGTTGTCAGGAGTGAATGAGGTGATGGCACTGGTTGCCCAATTGCCAGCAAATATGAAGTGCTCACGAACAGAAAGGCAATCCAGGGTGCAACTTGCATGTCATAGAGAATCACACCAGCCTACCTCTTCTTTTCCAAAAATCCAGGTCTACAGTTTCCTCCTTGAGGGTGATTTTTGTAATCCTGCAGCACCAGGATGTGTTGGCTGTGGCCTGGAGTCAAAGCTCCAGGAACTTCCGTAGAAGAAAAGTTTCTCCAAAACCCTTTCAAAAGTCACCTAATCAGGAAGTCTCTGCAAAGGGATTTGGAACTGACTTGGATGGGTTCTTTCCTGGTAGACACTCAGCACTTGATCTTCACTATATTACTCTCCACTTGTTGCTAAATTCCTTTCTAAGCATCTCAAGTCATTTCATCTAGGTTTGCTATTCTCAACTCCATCACAATGGCCTGGGGAACAATAATTACCCTTGTCAGCTAAGACAGCATGTCCACCCAGTAGGAACTCAAGAGCCTGCTGCCAGAATATCTTTCCTTCCACCCTACCCTAACCGTGAAGTGAGGCACCAACATTCTTTAAGGAATTCTGCTGAAGTCACAGTTTCCCAGAGGCTCAATTTGATGCTGGGGAGAGGAGTGGGACAATCATCCCCCTCCCACATCACACATTCTGGACACGAGCTCCTCTTCAGGGGCCAAGTGTGTGAGGCCAGATTCCATCAGGAGGAACAAGACAGAGACTTCGCAGGATGGCCTGGTCCAAGGACAAACTCAGACCCCCTGAGGGTCTCACACACTTGTCATGTGCCTGGTGAAAAAGCTCATTGCCATGGTCAGCCCTCAGAGCTAAAAATATTAGAAGCTAAAGTGGTAGAGAGACAGGAGAAAGAGCCACGTCAACTGAGGTGGGAAGGTTCCTGCCAGAAAGGGTTAGTGTCGAAAAAGCTCTGCACCCATCGCCCTCACTGTACACACACACACACACACACACACACACACACACACACCCTTTGCTGATGTGAAATGGCAAAATGGCTAGATCAGACATTTGGCCTAGACTGAGCATCTTCAGTCTCAAACCACACACACCATGGAAGCAGCCTCTGGTGAGGGCATGTCACAATTCATTGACTTGTTGAGCCTCCCCACAGGAAAAATATAGAAAACTGCCAAGGATGCAGCACCCAACAACATATGGCTCCCATAAATCACATTCTTATTCTCTAAAATCTTCATTATTTATGGAGCAATGGTCCTAAGAAGACTTTTTCAGGAAATTAAATTCATATTGAATTTAATCCTGCCTGCAACTCTTATTTTCCCAGTGAGGAAACAGCTACTGGGAGATGAAGTAGCTTGACAAGACTACACTGCTGGAAAGAGATAGAAGACTTTAAAAGAGACCACAAAGCTATAGTAACCAAAACAGCAAGGTACTGGCATAAAAACAGACTCATACACTAATAGAACAAAGTAGACAGCCCAAAAATAAATCTCCGCATTTACAGCCAACTGATTTTCAACAAAGGTGTCAATAGCACTTACTGGGAAAAGGACAGTCTCTTCAATAAAAGATGCTGGAAAAACTAGATATTTATATGCAGAACAATGAAACTAGATGCCTATCTCTGACCGTATACAAAAGTCAACTCAAAATGGATAAAAAGTTGAAATGTAAGACATGAAACTATGAAACTACTAGAAAAACAACATAGGGAAAATTATTCATGACACTGGAGTAGGCAAAGATTTTTTGGAAAATACTTCAAAAACACAGGCAACAAAAGGAAAAATAGACAAATGGGATTACATCAAACTAAAAAGTTTCCATACAACAAAGGAAACAATCAACACAGTGAAGAGACAACCTACAAAATGGAAGAAAGTATTTGCAAACTATGCACCTGACAAGGGATTAATAGTCATAATACATAAGGAACTCATACAACTCAACAGCAAAAATAATAATAATAATAATCATCATCCAATTTTAAAATGGGCAAAGGGCCTGAATAGACATTTCCCCAAAGAAGATTTACAAGTAGCCAGCAGATATATCACAAAATACTCAACATCATTAATCAGGGAAATGCAAATCAAAACCACAACCATATACTGTCTCACCCCAGTTAGAATGGCTATTATCGGAAAGACAAAAAGTAACAAATGCTGGGAAGGATGCAGAGAAAAAAGGAACTCTCTCATACACCATCAGTGGGAATGTAAATTAGTGCAGCCCTTATGGAAAATAGCATGGAGGTTCCTCAAAAAATTAAAAATAGAACAATTTTTAAATTTCAATAAAAATTTAAAATGTGATCCAGCAATGCCACTACTGGGTATCTATGCAAAGGAAAGGAAATCAGCATGTCAAAGAGCTATCTGCACTCCCGTGTTCATTGCAGCATTACTCACGATAGCCAAGATTTGGAATCAACCTAGGTATTCCTCAGTGGATGAATGGATGAAGAAAATGTGATACTGTATCACAGGAACTTGTACAAGTTAACCTGTATTCAACTGGTTTTATTCTTTTTTATGGCTGAATAATATTCCATTGCTTACATACAATCCTTAAATGGCTTTTAAAAATAGTAAAAGATAAAGAGAACATCGAAAAGGACCTACAATTTGCTATAATTGACATCAGCATCAGGGTAAACCCTGCAGCCCTCAAACCGGTTACTGCTGAATTGTGCATTCCCCATGGGATCCCACACTGCTTCCAGTGCCACAGCCAGATCCACACTAAACCCTTAACACATGGAAATGGAATGCCAGGGAGGGAGCTGCTAAGCAGCACTATTAATGCCAACACTCTCTTCTTTACTCAGCTATCAATATAAATTGAAGTCGGTAAAACTGTGAGATGCTTTCAATTAAACAGATGTATGCTGACATTTGTTTCCCCTCCCCCAAGGAAATATCTAACCTCTCTGTGGGAACTACCACAATTCATTCTAGCCTCAGCCCACCTCATTCTAGCCTGAGCCTACTTCTCACCCTAATCTTCCTCATCTGGTTGTAACCTCAGCCCAACTCTCATTCCAGCCTCTGCTGTGACCAGTTCTTTGTAGGTACAGCTCCTCAGCACCTTGACCCCAGCCCTCTCTGATGTCTGCCAGGACCTCTAGGTGCTCACACAGGAGAAATCTGGAAGTACAGGGGCCCTTGCCAAATGGGAGATGGAATCATGGAAAAGTCTTCACCCCTCCAGGGAAAAGCAGACAGCTCCTAAATCCATTTCTTAGGGCTCCTTGCTTCCCTCCCCTGCCTTCCTCTCCCTGCTCCTGACTTCTGCTCCCTGGCATCATTTCTCACATAAGCTACCTGCAGCAGCCCCTCTCACGCTGTGTCTCAGGGAAACCCCAGCCAAGACAAATCATTTCACGCAGTAAAATTTAATGACCATAGTTTTAGAATCAACAAACAGGACACGGCATCTTACAAAAGATGTTTCTGTGCCATTTCTCCTCCAGGGAGGCAGACAGGTGGGAAGACCTAGACAGAACATTGAATTGTACAGAATTCCAGAGCATCTCATTAGTTTGTGTAATTAGTCAGAGAATTTGAAGTAAGGCTATTCCCAAAATCGGGGCTGGATGGCTGCTGTACTTCTTCATGATGGTGAAAATAAAGTTGAGTTTTACTTCCCTTAAGAGAGTGAGACGAAGAAGTAAAGAAAATCAGGTCTCGTGTGGCAGTATGCCAAGGCCTAGCCACATCAATTCTGAGAGGTTGTCACCACACCTTAGCTTAGATGGCTGAAGTAGCTTTTAAAACATAGTTTCCAGAAAGTTGAGACGAAAAATCCCACACTAAACAAATATTTTAACTTGGAGAGAAAAAGATTGCCCTCTAAGGTGTACCTGGAGTGTGTGGAGGAAGGAATACTAATACCACAATACTCCAAAAACAAACAACACAGAGCTTGAGAAACAAATATTGTGCTTTACCAAATAGACAAAAGATCTTGGGCGCATTCCAGAAGGACAAGGGATACCGTAGATTAGTACGAGGAACCAGACAGACTGCCCGCACAGCTCAGAACCACTTTCGGGAGTATGCCTACACACACGACTTACTGAGCAGACCAGTGAAGACATGTCAACATACAGGCTGGTTCTTCTGCACAGGTGTGGTGAGTGGGGAGACTAAAGAGACCTTTCCCACTGTGTTTCAGGGCATGGGGCACAGGCGTGACACCATCAGGAGACTGAAGGAGGGAGCCTAGCTAAATGACCTTCTCCAAGTCCCTGAATCTTCTGAGCCCCAGTTTCTATGTCTTACAAAATTAGTCTGATAGTATCAAAGAAACATCCTAAGGAAGAAGATGTGAAAGGGCATTAGAGAAAGTGCTGTGTAGAAATAAATAATCCCATGCTTACTAGTACGAGAGCTGGGACAGACACTCACATTTGCTTGGAAAATCCTGTGTTCCTAAATCAGCCCCATAAACTAGCATGAAAGGAAGTCCTTAAGTAAATTTAGACTACAAACAGCTTGTACATACCCTTAAGCACTACAAAAGCATCCCTGTCTTATGACTAATACGTAAAGCCATTCTTGTTTAACTGAAGGCAATCTAAGGGTGCCTTCTCTCATGGCAGTACCACTTGAGCCCAACTTTAGCTGGAGCATAACCTTGAAAGGAGCATAACGTTGAAAGTAACATATGGATTGATATAATTGAGGCTGGCCTCCCGCCAATTGGTAAAAATTAGCCAACTTTTTCTTGAGCAAGTTAAAAAAAATCTACTTTGTATTTGAGCTCCAATTTATCATTGTAATTGATATTCTGAAAACAAGTGCATAGCTAGAAATAATAGTGCCATTTGCATAGTCTAGAAATTGAACCCAGCTAAAGCCCAGTGTCTGATAAACTAGCAAATTAAAAGCAGTGCTTTGATCTAGTTATGGAGCATCAGTAGCTGCTAAGATTACAAAAAGAGAGACAATATGGGCTCCTTTTGTGATGGAAAAGCAAACAATACCTTTAATGTAGTTTTATAAAAAAAAATCTGATCTGAATATGATCAAGGCTCTAAATCCAATTACCAATTAACAGGAAATGTATGTGGAGGAATATGTTAAAAGACATCATGGGAATGCAATCAGTAAAATCCAGAATGTTGGAAACTGTACAAACATTTCAGGTTTTGTTCAACAAAACAGGATGGAAAGAAAAAGAGAGAGAGAGTGAAGGGTAAAGGATTGACTTAATTACTTATTAAATAAAGGTAGGAAGACACACTGACCAATATAAACATGCTTACTTTGAGTCCTGATTCAAAATGCATAAACGGTTTTTAAAATGCGTGATTTTGATTTTTGACCATGAAGAAGAAACTGGTATAGGATTTTCTTCCCCTCCAAAACTAAAAGATAATTATACAAAAATGTTTAAAAACATCTTTTTCAGACACAGGATATCAAACAATGTAAGACTATGATCCTGAGAAAAGAAAGCAAAGGAGCTGAGTTTTACAACTGTCCTGGATTTCTGCCTGACAGCGACTTTTAAACAGCATGAAAGGGACAGGGGAGGCCAGGAAAAGCACCACAATCTCCCTGAGTTGAAGAGAAACAGATCAGGCTTTGGAGAGGCTGATCCAGCTGGAATTGGTAGAGCCAAGTTCAGAGACAAGTGAATTGTGCAAAGAAAGAGTTACGGAGATCTACAGAGGTGGCCCCTTGAGTCATTGGCTGAATATTAATCTGTACATTCATAGGGGGAAGATCCACAAGGCTAGATAAAGAACGGAAGAACTATAATCAAAACCATTCCCAGACTTGCACAAGGCTGAGAGGCATGCAAATTCTAACGAGCCAGAGCAGATACACCTTCTGGAACACTCAGAGCAATATGTAGAGATTTCAGAAGGATCAAACCTTAGTACTAGAGCTAACTTAGCCCTGAAGAACAGCCTATTCTAGAATTGTTCTAAAAAGGCTTTAAAGCAAGTCTAGTAAAGATTAATCAGTAAACATATAACTTACATATAACTTACCTGTCTGCCAAAACAAATTTCAGAATTTTTTAAGGAAGACAACTGTATCTAAATACTAAACAACAGAAACTCATGATGTCCTGCATCCAACAAAAAATTATTAGACATGCAAAAAATCACCAAATTATGACCCATAGCAAAAGGAAAAATCAGTCAAAAGAAACAGAGATAAATAACAGAGATGCTGGGAACAGCAGAAAATGATTTTATTATTATTATTTTTTTTTTTTTTTTGAGATGGAGTCTCGCTCTGTCGCCCAGGCTGGAGTGCAGTGGTGCGATCTCAGCTCACTGCAACCTCCACCTCCCGGGTTCAAGCGATTCTTCTGCCTCAGCCTCCTGAGAAGCTAGGATTGCAGGCGTGTGCCACCACACTTGGCTAATTTTTGTATTTTTAGTAGAGATGGGATTTCACCATATTCGTCAGGCTGGCCTTAAACTCCTGATCTCGTGATCCGCCCACCTCAGCCTCCCAAAGTGCTGGGATTACAGGCATGAGCCACCACGCCCAGCCTAAAATGGAAATTCTAGAAAAGAAAAATACAAGTTCTGCAGGGAAAAATTCATTGTACAATCATAACAGTTGATCAGATGCTACAAAAGAAAGATCAGTGAACACAAAGACACTATAGTAGAAAATATTCAACTAATGAGCAGAGAGGAGAAAAGACAAAAACAAAAACAGAAACTCAGTGACCTGTGGCATGATATCCATCAGTCAAACATACATGTAATTGGAGCCCAAGAAGATAGAAGGTGGCAAAAAAAATTTTTTTGATGAAATCGTGACTGAAAATTTGCCATTTCTGATGCAAACGATAAACCCACAGATCCAAGAAGCTCAATGATACCCAAGATAGATAAACACAAATAACATCATAATCAAATTGCTAAAAATTATTTATAAGCAGGAAAAGTTTTAAGTGGCTATATATATAAATATAAAATAACATGTATATTTTATATATATGTACACACGCACACACATACAGGTATATTTGTGATATATAATGTAACAAAAAGCACATTCACTGTTGCCTGGGGCTAAGGATGGGGCAGGGAGGTAGAATTGACTACAGGAAGATGAGGCAGCTTTTTGTGGAATCAAAATATTCTCTTTGATTATGATGGTGGTTATAGGTGTGTACACCCTTGTCAAAGCTCATTTAAATGTACTCTTAAAATAGGCAGATCTTATTGTGTGTAAGACATACCTTAACAAAATTGATTTTTAAACCATATGACATTTTTGGGATAAGTGATAATTTGAACATGCACTGAGTATTGGATGACATTTAAAAATTACTGTTAATTTTATAGGTACGAATGTGTTATTGTGGTTATGTTTGATTCTTATTGTGAGAAGTGCATAGTAAAAAAGTTACAGATAAAATTATACGATGTCTGATATTGGTCTTTTAAAAATGTAGGCAGCAGGGGAAAGAGAAGATAAAGCAATGTTGGTCATCAGTTGATAATTGTTGAAGCTGGATATTGAGTACACGGGAACCCACTGAACTATTTTATCTACTTTTATGACAACTTGAAACTTTCCAACATAAAAAATTCTTTTACATGCTTTAAACATATGAACTATGTGGTAAATTATTCAACTAAAAATGTAAACTGAGTAACTTTTTTAAGTGACAGAGGCTACAGGACATATACAAGCAAAAAGAATGATCTCTACCATCATGGAACTCATGATCTATGAAATGCCAAGTAATAAAAAAAATTATATGATAAGAGTAGATGAGACCTTTTATGAGTTGGGATTAGGTTCCAAGAGAATTAAACTCCACAATAACAGAGATTTAGACAAGATCGAGGTTTCTTTGTCTCTAAGATAAAAATCTGGAAATAGGCCATCAGAACTGGAAGCACTGTCAGAGCCATCAAAGCTGGCAGAATCCAACCTGCAACAATGCAGTTCACAATCATTAACTCATTTAACCTTTTGCCAGCCCAGTAAAGGAGGTACTGCCCAAGGTCAAATCTAAATGTGAGGATTTGATTCTGGATCTGAAACATTTTCCATGAAAAGAATTATAACATCCTCATATTTTTCCTTATTGCTTCACTATCAATACTCAGTTTAATTTCACCAAGATTAAAGAATTAGATAGAGGCTTTGTGGAAATTCTGAATTTTTGAACACTCTTAAATACACCATTATTCTTCATTAAGTCCAATTGCATATCATAATTTGCACATTCTTCTCTATTAATGTAGTATCACTAGCACTAGTCTAATATTTATTAACCAAGATTAGGATAATTTTCCAGCTCAAAGAAAATTATCTAGCTCAAAAAACAATAGAGCTTAAACAAAAATGAAAGGGAAGAAAAATAATTCAAACTCCCTGATAGGGAATTTTTAAATGGTAAAACCATTGATTGATTACGATCATTCCCTGAGAGGGCATATTGGTTCAACAAAGAATAGCTTGATTATAATCTGGCCTGACAACAAAGTTGGCCTCACAGACTGTAAGTGAATTGTAAAGGCAATGTAAAAAAAAAAAAAAAAAAAAAAAAACTTAACATGTAAAGGACTTTGAAAGTTAAGGTTGTAAACTTGAGATGCAATTCTATTTGTATATGAAAGTAATAGTAACACAGATAGATGTCTACATTCCTATAGCTTGGAAATAACTTGGCAAAGAAGTTATAGGAATTTCACTAAGCTCAAAAGGCAGAATTACAGCAAAATATTGTCAGTATTATGTAAGACAGGTTATTTTCATTTTTGCAAGCAAATATAATGCTAATTCAGTCTGCCTTGCCAGCATGGATTCTGAGCATTACACTCAGTGTTAAAATTCTGCCCATTTAGTGATGTAGCCTTATATAATTCTGTCAACCCTTTCCAGGTAGTCAGAGTGTACCAACAGATTGGTGTACAGTCTACTTCAGGTAGTAATACAACCTCCATCCTTGAAGGTTGAGTTAATTACAAAGTAGCTAACAACTTCTTGAAAGACAATCACAAGTCTTCTCCAGGCTAAATTTGAACCCTAAAGTCCAAAGCTCACAGGATCATTTATGAAAGGGATAAAGGAGACCTCAGAACAGGAATATTTGGGCTTAGCATCAGAATTTGCCAAAGAACTAATTAGGAATAGTGTAGAACTCAGATTTCAAGCCATGCTTAGAAAGCCATGCCCTAATATTTTTAACACATAGACCATAAGTTTATTTTTTATTTATTGGACCTCTAAAACTAGAGTGCCTATAGAATTTATTGTCCCAGGATGCTTTTAAAAGGGGAAGGGGACCATCTTAATAATGGCACAGAGGAAACATGTGGACATTGTTCTGAGCAACTGAGATGTATGGTCAGATCATCTAAAACCATAGCATGCACTATGATCAAGGTGGATTTATTCCAGGGATGCAAGGATGGTTCAATATATTCAAATCAATGAATATGATTCACCAAATAAACAGAATTAAAAACAAAAACCATATGATCATCTCAACAGATGCAGAAGAGCATTTGATAAAATTCGGAATCCCTTCATGATAAAAACTCTCAACAAACTAGGCATAGAACAACAAAACAACAAAAGCCATATATGACAAACCCATGGCCAACATCATATTGAATGGGGAAAATTTGAAAGTATTTCCCCTAAGAATTAAAACAAGACAAGGATGCCCATTTTTGCCACTTCTATTCAACAAAGCATTGGAAGTTCTACCCAGAAAATCAGGCACTAGAAAGAAATAAAAGGCATCCAAATTGGAAAAGAGGATGTCAAATTATCTCTGTTTGCTGATGATATTATCTTATACTTAGAAAACCCTAAAGACTCCTCCAACTATCACTAGATTTGATAAATGAATTCAGTCAAGTTTCAGGATACAAAATCAACATACAAAAATCAGTAGCATTTCTATACACCAGTAATGACCAAGCTGAGAACCAAATCAAGGACTCAACCCCATTTACGACAGCTACAAAAATAATTAAAAAATAAAATAAAATACTTAGGAATACATTTAATGAAGGAGATAAAAGGTCTCTACGAAGAAAATTATAAAACATTGATAAAAGAAATTGTAGATGACACAAATGTTTGTGTCATCTATATCCCATGCTCATGGATTGGAGGGATCAATATTGTTAAGAAGACCATACTGCCCAATGCGATCTATAGATTCAGTGCAAATCCTATCAAAATATCAACATCATTTTTTACAAAATTGGAAAAAAAAATGCTAAAATTCATATGGGACCAAAGAGCCCAAATAACCAAAGCAATCCTAAGCAAAAAGAACAAATCTAGAGGCATCACATTATCTAACTTCAAATTATACTACAAGGCTATAGTGACCAAAACAGTATGGTACTGGTTTAAAAACAGATATATACATCAATGGAATGGAATAAAAAACCCAGAAATGAAGCCACATACCTAGAGCCAACTGATCTTCCACAAAGGCAGCAAGAACATACAATGGGGAAAGGACATCCTGTTCAATAAATGATGCTGGGTGCTGGAAAACTTGCATAGCCATATGCATAAGTATAGGAGCTATATCTCTCACCATATCCAAAAATCAACTCAAAATGGATTAAAGACTTAAATGTAAGATCTGAAACTATAAGAACTATAGAAGAAAACCTAAGAAAAACTCTTTTTCTTTAAAGAGATGGAGTCTCTCTCTCACACCCAGGCTGAAGTGCAGTGGCACAAACATGGTTCACTGCAACCTCAACTCCCTGGACTCAAGCGATTATCTTGCCTCAGCCTCTTGAGTAGCTAGAACTACAGGTGCACACCACCATGCCTGGCTAATTTTTAAAATTTTTTTGTAGAGACAGGGTATCACTATGCTGCCTAGGCTGCTCTTGAACTCCTGGGCTCAAGCAATCCTCCCACCTCAGCCTCCCAAAGTGCTGGGATTACAGGCAAGAGCCACTACACCTGGCCAAAAAACTCTGTTGAATATTGGCTTAGGCAAAGAATTCACGACTAATACTTCAAAAGCAAATGTAACAGAAACAAAAATAGAGAAATAGGACTTAATTAAACCTAAAAAGCTTCTGCACAGGAAAAGACATAATCAACAGAGTAAGTAGACCACCTGCAGAATGGGAGAAAATATTGGCTAACCATGAATCCAACAAAGGACTAATATCTAGAACCCATAGAGAACTCAAACAATTCAACAAGTAAAAAACAAATAACCTCATTAAAAAGTGGACAAAGGACACGAACAGTTTTCAAAAGAAGACACATAAATAGCCAATAAGCATATTTTAAAAATGCTCAGCATCACTAATCATCAGACATAAGATGAATTAAAACTACAATGAGAGATCATCTTATACTAATCAGGATGGCTATTATTAAAAAGTCAGAAAATAACAGATAGTGAGGATGTAGAAAAAAGGGAATGCTTATATACTGTTGGTAGAAATGTGAATTGGTACAACTTATATGGCAAACAGGAGATTTTTCAAAGAACTAAAAATCAAATTATCATTTCATCCAGCAACCTCACTACTGGGTATCTACCTAAAAGAAAATAAATTATTATATAAAAAGATATCTGCACTCATATGTTTATCACAGCACTATTCACAATAGGAAAGATACAGAACTAACCTATATGTATATGTGGTATATACATATTCCATGGTATGTATATACCACATTTTCTTTATCCAATCATACATTGATGGACAATCATACATGATTGGATAAAGAGTATAATTGTCCACGAATGTATGATTGGATAAAGAAAATGTGGTATATACATACCATGGAATACTACTTAGCCATAAAAATGAATGAAATCATCTTTTGCAGCAACATGAATGGAACTGGAGGCCATTATCTTAAATGAAATAACTCAGAAGCAGAAAGTCAAATAACACATGTTCTTGCTCACCAGTGGGAGCTAACTAATATGTACATACAGACACAGTAAATTTTTTTTTTTTTTTGAGACGGAGTCTTGCTCTGTCACCCAGGCTGGAGTGCAGTGGGCTGATCTCGGCTCACTGCAAGCTCCACCTCCTGGGTTCATGCCATTCTCCTGCCCCAGCCTCCTGAGTAGCTGGGACTACAGGCGCCCACCACCACGCCTGGCTAATTTTTTTTTTTGTATTTTTAGTAGAGACGGGGTTTCACCGTGTTAGCCAGGATGGTCTCGATCGCCTGACTTCGTGATCCGCCCGACCTCGTGATCCGCCCGACCTCCTGATCCGCCCGCCTCGGCCTCCCAAAGTACTGGGATTACAGGCGTGAGCCACCGTGCCCAGCCCAGACATAGTAAAATTAGTAGACACTGGAAACTCAGAAAGGTGGGAGGGAAGTAGGTGAGGGCTGAAAAATTACCTAATGGGTACGATGTTCACTATTTGAGTGATGGTTACACAAAAAGCCCAGACTGCACTACTACGAAATACGTCCATGTAACAAAACTGCACGTGTATCCCCAAATCTACAAAAATAAGAAATATATAATTTTAAAAAAATAAATAAAACTACAAAATGTTCTCATGAACAACTGGGCATATCATTTTACAAAGACCCTCTGTGTACCATGCAACATGTACCACCCACTACACGGCTTCCATTTCCACTTGCCAAGGTCTTGATATTGTGATATCCATGCCCAGATAGCATCACTGACCTCTGATAAGGTCAGAATACTGTCCTACCTCATGTATGCACAGCATGTCTCTGGGCCAAGCTGTTCTTATGTATATTCTTGTCTCTGGTTTACATGGGGAAATAGGCCATGTAACAAGAAAGGTCATGAAGTCAGAGGACAGCACACATGAGGACCTCAAGGGCATTCCAACCATACATGGTTGTCCATTTTTATGGCTCATATATCTTTCCTACCATCTTTGAACTCATAAAGCTGAATGAAAAAATCAATACATTTCCTTCAATGTCAGAAAATTCTGTGCTCAATTAACAGTCAAAATATTATCTTACAAATAAGAATATCTCTATATACTGCCATGGAGTGAATTCCAGGATTTTTTGAAAAGTTAAGAAAATAAAGTAGATAGAACTAACTGTATATAAAATTTTAACACTACCTACATGGAGGGATATATAAATACATCCATGTTGGCTTAGTTATTTTAAATAGAAGTATGTTATGGGCTGAGTTGTGTCCTCTCAAAATGTATATGTTGAAGTCCTAAGCCCCAGTACCTCAGTGCTGTATTGGATTGGAGATAAGGTCTTTAAAGAAGTAATGAAATTAAAATGAGGGGTCTTTAGGGTGGGCCTCAATCCAATCTGACTGCTAGCCTTATAAGAAGAGGAAATGTGGATACACAGAGAGACACCAGAGGTGCACATGCACAGAGGGAAGACCATGTGAGGACAGCCAGCCAAGGAGAAAGATCCCAGATGAATCTAGCCCTGCCAACACCTTGATCTTGGGCTTTCAGCCTCCAGAACCGTAAGAAAATAAATTTCAGTTGGTTAAGCTACCCAGTCTGTGATATTTTGTTTGGCAGCCCTAGCAAACTAATATAAAGGGTAATTTTAAAAGTTTTATCAAATGGTTACCTATAGGGTGGAGGAAGGAGCAAGGTGGAAAAAATATGGATAAAAACTAAATTTCCTTGAATATGCTTCATATTATACCTTTGACTTTAAAACCAGGTCAATATTCAAGCCAGGTACAGTGGTACATACCTGTTGTCCCAGCTACTCAAGAGGCTGAGATAGAAGGATAGCTTGAGCCTAGAAGTTTGAGACCAGTCTGGGCAACATAGAGAGATCCTGTCTCTTAAGAAAAAAAAAGTCAATATTACTTACTTGTTAAACAAATGAAGGAAATAAAAAATGAAATGGACCAGATGGTGCTAACTAAAGGCTATAGTTTGAATGTGCTCCCAAAGTTTTTCTCTTGAAAACTTAATTGCCATTGCAAATACTGTTAAGAGGTGGGGTCTTTAAGAAGTAAGTAGACCATGAGGACTCTGCCTTCATGAATGGATTAATGCTGTTATTGTGAGAATGGGTTCCCGATAATTTTAGCCCCCTTCTTCCCTCCCCTCCTTGTGCTCACTTCCACCTTCTACCCTTCCATCATGGAATGACTGTTGCCAGATGTTAATGTCATGAACTTGGACTTCCCAGTCTCCAGAACTATAAGAAATAAATGTCTTTTCTTTATCAATTACTCAGTCTTAGGTATTCTGTTACAGCAGCAAAAAGTGGACTAAGACACTGAATACCAAGTTGACGGCTTAATCACTAGAGAACAATTATCTCAAGTTACATTAAAATTTGGTAATTTGACTGTGTAGATGATGGAATATACACCCTAAGGGCCAAAAAACAAAAACAAAGCCCACAAGTAAAATTCAAACTGTTTTCAGTTATCACATTGTTAGTAATAAAACAGGAATTGAGATTCTGAAATAGGAATAGAAAGATTGAGATACATACACACACACACACACACACACAGAGGAATGACAAAGCAAATAAGTAATTACATTGATGTGACTGATATTCAGCATAGGGACCCAGGTAAAATCAAAAAATGTCCTACAAACAATAAACAACCCCAGGATCAGTGAACACTTTTCTCAATGAACGCTACTTTTTATGCCTTTCTCTTTACTTTTATACATACTTGAAATCTTGCCTAATAAAAACGATATAGGTGGATGGATGAATAGATAGATAGATAGATAGATAGATAGATAGATAGATAGATATTCTCCTCACATTGTTCCTACATGATTTACTAGTATGGGTTTTACTCTGAGCAACCCAACTGTGCACTCAACTCCTGCTCAAATTTTGAATAAGGGGCTTGTTCACAATTGAAGCAAGGGGTTCTGACTTTCCTTTTTATTTCTGGAACACCGGCTAGGTATTGGCCATAGACTAGGATTAGATGACCCCAAGAAATATCTCATTCCTCCAGGAACTATTTTTCACTTTTCCAGTTTTTACCCGGAAAGTTTACTTGGTTGATTAATTCTGAAGAATTTGCCTATCTGGGCTTACAAAGATAGTATACCCCTCCAAAATAAGTTTCCAAGTATGAAATGGAAGGAGAGACATAAATAATACTTAATAAGGGCCTAGAACATAGTAGTTCAGTTTTTAAAATCCCTATAACTGTTATTCTTCTAGATTTAAAAAAGGTGAGGTGTGGTAACTTTCCTGGTAGAGCAGAGATACGAACCCAAGGTTATCTGTCTCCAAAGCCCACACCTACCTAGAGTGGTAATGCCTTCTCTGGAATTAAATGGGAGAGTTAACCCCGCCATATCCACTCCAAATGCATAAACCTAGACTGTGGATCCAGGTTTGAGGGACTACTGGCCAAGACAAGGGACATAGACCCTTCCCCAGCTCCACAGGAAGCCCTGCAAAGACCTTGTTTTTTTTGTACAACTTAATATTCATGTATCCAAACTGGATCTCATTTGGCACTTGCCCCTCTTTTGCCCAGATTTGTATGACAGTATGATGATGGAGCCCTCTCCAAGGATGTGCGTCAGTTCTCTTCATAGAAAGACAGTCTCCTTCTTTGATACATATCAGGAAAGGTCTGATTACTAATTTATTGTGGATGGTTACAGCCTCAAAGTTAAAAAGAGAGAACTGGATCACTCATTGCAAACAGAAGTTAAATCTCCTTGTTCTGCTTGTAAAACTCAAAATTTAAAGAACTTCAGGTAATAGAAAAACTGGACTAAAACTAGACAATGAGGTTCCTAAGATCTAGCCAGTTCTGAAGAATGGACTCCATGATCCCACTATCTAAGCTGTCACCTTGTAACAAATCAGCCCCGGGCCTTTCCTTCCTACATTGGTATTTTCACACATGGTGCTAGAGTGTGCAGGATTTCGTCTCTGAGTGACAGAATCAGGCAGCATTCTCAATGACCCCTAACCTTCGTCGTACTGTAGATGATCTAGCTTTGTATCTGCACATCTTTGCTCCTCCTTTTATCCTTCTTTTTCTCTTTTCCACCATTATCAGGCCTGCCTCCCTGCCTCTCTCCACTCCCCAGGACCCACCTCCCAATAACTACTTAATTCAATGGGTACCCAGTGGCTTTCTTGCTGCTTATAATTCCTGAGGTCTCAAAAGAAAACTTCAGGCACAGCCCTTGGTTTTGCACCTGGTCAGTAATGCCCAGCCAAATTCTAAGATTCTTGGATTAAACCATGCCCATTGCTCAAGAAACCGAAAGAAGACTGTTCAAACAAACATGGTAAATGTACAAACAAATGAGCCTGACCCTATTAAAACATTTTTGGAAAGAAGCAAAAATACAGACACGTAAAAATGCCTAAGTTTTCTCCGTCTACTTCCACACTCACCTTCAATCCTTGCAGGATTTTTCCAGTGTTCAGCATCTACCAAAAGAATCAACCAGACCATGAAATGGGCTAGAACAGAGTTGGACAAAGCACTCCTTTTCTTCCCATGTATTTTCACTATGAGGAAAGGTAAAGAGGCAGCTGGGCTTTATCGCTGTAGAGGCCCTTCACTGCCACCTGACCTCGAGCCCCAAGTCAGGGCCCTCTCCATGCCCCTAGGGAGACTCTGCAAGGATTCAGAGCCATGCATTTTGCCCTGGGACTCTCAACATTAGCCTGGTCTCTAAGCCTGAGGCTCTTCAGTTCTTCACAGCATTGTACTGTAGATTCATCCAGAGTCCCAGGTCCCCATGGGAAGGTAATTTTAAGTTTACCCTCTCTTCAGATCCAGAGGTTAACACGACAAGAAATTCAAAGCTGTTTCCAGGTTGCTGGGTGGATGTGATCAAGATTGTTCTGTAGTCCCTTTGGGCTGGGAGCCTGCGTGATCTTCTAATGCATAGGGCAAGTCATCAATATTTCCACAGGGAGTCACCTTAGGTATTTTAGGAATTAAATTATTTTCTTCCCAAGATTAGTGTTTAGGAACTGGGTCAGTGAAGCACTATCAAATTATGGAAAGCGTTAAATTTGCAGATAGTTTCCACAGTTAATTAAGTTACTTTGTGCCCAGAGATACATGCACTATCTTCCTAAAATCACCACTTCAGGGAGGTCATACGATCATGGAAATATGAACTTATCTTTTGCCATAGTTTATTCACTTATCTCCATGGAAATTAAAGGGCAAGGGGGAAAATAAGCTAATAGGTGTTTCTTACCTACAAGTGTTTGGTCAAGCTCCACCTGCAGGCATTTTTTATTAACCCATCAATGTACTCCCCAAGGAATGGGAATTAAGGGGCAGAAATATCCAAGCACTTCTGGGAAACTTTAAAAAAATGCATGTGACGTCTGGCAGCGTCTGGTCTCCCCAACTGTATTCAGCCTTGAGGGTGTTGTGGATAGACACGCCCTGCTCCATACATTCTCGGTTTCTCTGATAGCTGCAAAAGGTGAATGATTTCCCCGCTGTAAAACAACAGCTAAAATTGATACCGACATCAACCACAAATGGAAAAAGCAGTGTTATTTCTGGTTTTAACAGAAGACAATCATGTTATCCTCAGCAAATGGCACATTCATGTGTCAAGGATAGGGGAATACAGTCATGAAGAAAAAAAGAAAAAAACCCTGCTCTAGTGGAGCTTCCATTCTAGCTGAGGTAGGGTTTTTTTTTGTTTGTTTGCTTGTTTTTGTTTTGTTTTAATCCTATCCAGGTGGTCCACGGCCTGCCATGCCATCTTCCTTCTCAAAGTCCACTTAGGTGGCTGCAAGCAACCTCTCACCTGCCCATTCCCTAAGTCACTCTAAAAATAGCAAAGGGTTTCCAGCTGAGAATTCACCCACCTCCAACTCACTCTCTTGCCCCCCAACCTTTTCAGGCTCCAAACTTGCAGACAGCAGCCCACAGGATAGACATAAAAGGTGGGGCAGGTCCTTGCCCCCCTTGCCCCAAATGAAATCAGGGTAAGGAGAGGATCCCCTGCAGCTGGGGAGGGGAGGAGGTTGGGTAAGAAAGGGGGAAAGTGGGACATGGAGGTGGGGTGAGCCACCTTCCCTGGCGGCGACCAGCATTCCTTGGTGGCAGGACACCTTGGCCCTGGAGTCTCGAAGAGGCCTCCCTTGGACTCTGTAGCGACCACGGGTCCCACCTCAAGCCTCCTTGGCTTTACCTTCCCCATCAAATAGTCATGTGCCCTCCTGCCCTGCCCAACCCCAGAGTTCAAGAGAGAAAAACATTCATTACGAACGCCTTTTATCCCTGGCCAAATCCAAGCCTCTTTACCTCGCTATATATATATAGATATACATATTTGTCTCATCCCACTTCCCTCTCCAGGTCTAGTGAACCATCAACTCCAAGGCTAGAGCTGAGCAGACCCCTCCAGAAAGGCTCATCTCCCAAAAAGCAGCCATTCCCCACCTGGCTCCCGAGGCGCATACTTAATAAAGTCAGTCTAATCTCCGAACGCGATCCTTCCCCAAATACAAAAATAACAGAGCTGTGGCTGGGGCTGTCATGTTGCCCGCCCCATTGTGAATGGCTTCAAAACTCCCTGAATAAAGATAAGAGAGGATTGTGTACGTTTTCAACACAAATGGTGGAAAGTAATAAAATAAACATCAAAGGTGAGCTCCCACCTACTAGCGGCTCCGTCGCTTTTTGTGCAACAAAGGCAGGAAAAAGGAGGAAACTCGGCGTGGCAGGGCAGCGGGCTGGAAGTGCACCTTCCCGGGGCCGAGGCGCCCGCTCCCTGGACTAATGACGCCGCGTGGGGATCACGCCCCGGGCGCCCTGGGGTGAGGAACGGTCCCCCCTTTCGAGATTGTCCGACACTGGTGCCAGTGAGGTCACAGCAAAAGTCCCAAAGGAATATTGGAAAGAAATGGCCGTGAACCGGTTTGTTCTTGCCCCCGCCCCCGGGAACACGCCCTCTCCGTCGTTCCTGTTGACTGTCAGATCCCGGGAACCAAGCGGCGGAGCTCGGCGGCATCTGAGGCTTCCGCAGGGACACAAGTGCAGGCACAGCCCAGCACCCTGCGCCAGACACAGCCGCCCCAGGGGAAGAGGAGGACGCTGCTGTCCTCCCGCAGGAGTCACCAGCCAGGTAAAGAAAAAGGTAAAGTAAGACAAAGAAAAGTGAAAGTCGGAGCCCATTTAGTGAGCAAGAGTAAAGGTCATCCAAAAAGGCGCATACAATTTCAAGCCCAGGAGTGCATTCATTAAAACAAGAGGAAAAGACAAGATGGTCCTTGAAAGGAGCTCATAGGAAGGGGCACAGCACAAGGCTCCCGAAAGAGGTCACTGCAAGTGTCCTGCGCAATTTCTGTTCAGCACCTCTGCAGTGACGACAGGGGTTTGCTTTCGTAAGCAGCATCGTTTTCACTACTACAGAAGCACATACGCCGCGTGCAGCTTAGGCCCGAGCAAAGTCCCTGCTCCCCTAGACCCAGTCCCTTCAGGTGTCCCCCTAGGGGAACTGTGGCGTGTCCCCCCAACCAGGCGCACTCGCCTAAACTGCGTCCCCGAACTCCAGGGCGCAGGGAGCCCTCGCGGGCTGCCCGGGGCTGGGGCCCACACCTGAACGGAGGAGCCGGCTGGCGGAGCGGCCCCGCGCGCGCACACACGCACACTCACAGACACGCGCAAACCCACAGCGGCGCGCGCGCTCCCCATTGGCGGGAGGAGGAAGGCGGGGCCGGCCGACCCAAAACAAACAACCTGCGCCAGCGACTTTGCCGCCGCGCTGCAGTGTGGCCTCCGCCTGGTGCGCGCCCGTTGGGGAGCTGGGGAACTGGGGAGCCGCCACCACCTCGGCCACCTCGTTCCCCCACCCCTTGCCGTCCGCGCTCAGGCCCCGCCCCCGCGGAGCCGCCGCAGGGTTATATTGGGCCGGCCCGAAGGTGGAGGCGAGACGCAGCCGCGGCAGGCCAGCGGGGAGATGCTGCCCCGGAGGCTGGGAGCGGGAAGGCGGCTGCGGGCGCAGCGGCCTCGGGGACTCGCCTCCGCGGGTGCTCAAGGCTGAAGGCGCCGGACCTTCCCCCACGGTGGCACGCACATCATCCGGCACCATTTCCGTGCCCCGAAGACGCCCGCGCGGGACCTGGGACCGCCAGTGAAGAACCCCTCCTGGGCTCTTTAACGAGCAGCAGATGCGCATGCTGCTTCTCTCCGGCAGGAAAGCCTTCTAAGCCCGGCGTGCTCGGGCACCCGAGGGTGGAACCGCGGCCCCTGCACACACTCACCCCAAAGTCTCAACGTCGAACCGAAGGCGACACCCACCCAACTCCTCCCTCTCCGCCCCATAGTCCACCCAACACTTGCAGCCCCTCCAGAGAAAAAGCCCAGCGGAAGAGGACTCCGGAAAAGTGACTATCTCGGAAGACCAGGGTAGAGCTCCCGGGAGAAAAAGGCGAAGATCCCCGGCCCCGGATCGCCATCCCCTTCCCTGGCACCAGCTTCTCTAGGCTGCGCGAAGGAAGAGGGTACGACGCCGGGGAGGGACTGGGTGCGCGGGCATGAAGTTGGAGGTGTTCGTCCCTCGCGCGGCCCACGGGGACAAGCAGGGCAGTGACCTGGAGGGCGCGGGCGGCAGCGACGCGCCGTCCCCGCTGTCGGCGGCGGGAGACGACTCCCTGGGCTCAGATGGGGACTGCGCGGCCAACAGCCCGGCCGCGGGCGGCGGCGCCAGAGATACGCAGGGCGACGGCGAACAGAGTGCGGGAGGCGGGCCGGGCGCGGAGGAGGCGATCCCGGCAGCAGCTGCTGCAGCGGTGGTGGCGGAGGGCGCGGAGGCCGGGGCGGCGGGGCCAGGCGCGGGCGGCGCGGGGAGCGGCGAGGGTGCACGCAGCAAGCCATATACGCGGCGGCCCAAGCCCCCCTACTCGTACATCGCGCTCATCGCCATGGCCATCCGCGACTCGGCGGGCGGGCGCTTGACGCTGGCGGAGATCAACGAGTACCTCATGGGCAAGTTCCCCTTTTTCCGCGGCAGCTACACGGGCTGGCGCAACTCCGTGCGCCACAACCTTTCGCTCAACGACTGCTTCGTCAAGGTGCTGCGCGACCCCTCGCGGCCCTGGGGCAAGGACAACTACTGGATGCTCAACCCCAACAGCGAGTACACCTTCGCCGACGGGGTCTTCCGCCGCCGCCGCAAGCGCCTCAGCCACCGCGCGCCGGTCCCCGCGCCCGGGCTGCGGCCCGAGGAGGCCCCGGGCCTCCCCGCCGCCCCGCCGCCCGCGCCCGCCGCCCCGGCCTCGCCCCGCATGCGCTCGCCCGCCCGCCAGGAGGAGCGCGCCAGCCCCGCGGGCAAGTTCTCCAGCTCCTTCGCCATCGACAGCATCCTGCGCAAGCCCTTCCGCAGCCGCCGCCTCAGGGACACGGCCCCCGGGACGACGCTTCAGTGGGGCGCCGCGCCCTGCCCGCCGCTGCCCGCGTTCCCCGCGCTCCTCCCCGCGGCGCCCTGCAGGGCCCTGCTGCCGCTCTGCGCGTACGGCGCGGGCGAGCCGGCGCGGCTGGGCGCGCGCGAGGCCGAGGTGCCACCGACCGCGCCGCCCCTCCTGCTTGCACCTCTCCCGGCGGCGGCCCCCGCCAAGCCACTCCGAGGCCCGGCGGCCGGCGGCGCGCACCTGTACTGCCCCCTGCGGCTGCCCGCAGCCCTGCAGGCGGCCTCAGTCCGCCGCCCTGGCCCGCACCTGCCGTACCCGGTGGAGACGCTCCTAGCCTGAGTAGCGCCGCGGGGCCCGGGAACGCCGAGTGCGCGCCGTCGGGGAGGCGGGAACGCGGGCCCGCGCGCGGACTTTGCACTTTGAATCCAGAGGAAGATGAATTTTTAAAATCTCCATCAAACGTGCCTTAAAGCTAAAGCATTTTGACAGGAGTATTTAAACTTAGTCCAGGATATTTTCCTTTGTGTTTTATAACTTTACAGAGGACCAAAGCAATTCTTGTTTTAGTTTCTTTGCGAAGCCTGCTCCTCCTTCCCTTCATAAGGACTTTTTTTGTCTTTCTTTAACGCCCAGGCTTCGTCTTATTTCTACTGTTTTTGTCGCAACTTCCATTGATTTATGTCCCTTCCCTCCCCCCTAAGTACATCAGGGAACCTTTCCACACTATAAATGATATGACTACTGTTTGGGGTTTCTGGGCCCCCATCCGTGTACGTATGTGGCATTTCCAGGTATGACTGAGTGTGAGAGACATGTCAGAGGCTCTTCAGTGATTTCTTGCTATTGACCGATGCTTCACTGTGCCAAAAGAGAAAAAAAATGTTGGGTTTTGTAATTAAATTATTTATATATTTTTGAAACCCGAATTGAAAATGTTGCAGGCAACGGGCTACAGCTTTATTAGTGGTTCTCTAACTGTGGTCTCCTTGGGCCAAGCAATTTCTTTAAAGGAAAAGTTGATTATGTATGTGGGGTGCCAGGACCACTGCCTTGAAAGCAAG
Source organism: Homo sapiens (assembly GCF_000001405.40). Lineage (NCBI taxonomy): Eukaryota > Metazoa > Chordata > Mammalia > Primates > Hominidae > Homo > Homo sapiens. The sequence goes on from NC_000006.12 coordinate 1,314,639, forward strand.
TGTGATTTTTATTTTTAATATTATTTTATTTGTGTCTGTGTACATATTCATGTATAAATTTTATGAAACCCAAGCATAGTGCTTATTTTTTAATAAAACAACTGACTTAACACATTGTGATGATGGGTTGGAAGTGGAGAGATTTTTATGTCTGTCCCCCCTCCCAAAAAAATGGGCTCAGGTTTTGGTCTCAAGAAACTTCCTCTGGAGATAAAAATATTTTCCTGAATAATTCGATAAAGGTATTATAGAATGGGCTTGCAGATTTCCGTATGAGATGCATTGCTAGACAGATTTCCAGATAGGACTTCCATTCATGGGCTTTTTAAAAGTTGAAAACCAATTACTCCTCTAATTAGTCACCTAAGTGCTTCCAGAACAAATGAGAGGGAAGTGTCCCTCTCTCCCCCAAGAATCCTTAGCAGGCAAGTTGAGTTCTTAACAAGCCTAGAGTCAAACAGATATTTTCAGGTAAATTGGTTTCGATTTGGGGCTCAAAAAGTTGGAGCCCCAATTTTTTTGACAACTTTTTTGTCATAAGACTATCTTAAAATATCAAAGGTGTCTTCAGGGCAATTTCAAAAGCAATTTAAATGTCATAGTGTTTTTGTCAAAACAAAACCATCCACCTTTTTAGGAATGCAAAAGTTCAACTGGGTGTGAACCAATGGGTAGTATTTTTTTCACTCTTCCCTCATCTGTAAAGATTTCACTTGAAGCAGTGGCAATGTCTTGCATGTTTCAGTTGCAGTCTGAAGAGAAAATGCCTCCTGGAGAGAGGGAGAGACAGTTTCCCATATTATAAATGTAACGGAGGATTTTCATCAGTGGGAGTACCAGGGTGAACACCTGTTCTTCAGTAGGTTCCTAGGCAATACAGTTTTAACAATGCATGGATTGCAAAATTTTAGAGAGTAATACAAACTGTGGGAAATGCAGAGACTAGAAACAGGCCTCATTGCCATGGCTGCCATTCTTGGGTAGATCCCATCTTACCCAGGACAGGAGGATGATTTGAGCTCTACATATAATGAGGTGGGGAAGGAGGGTGGCGTTTATTTCAGGATGCTCTCTTTTGGCAGGAATGGGAGAGAAACAATCTTCCCTAAATCAGGTTAACAGATGATGAGTCTTGACTGATTTGGATGACATCTACTTAGTAATCATAAAGAGTGATAATAATAGGGTTGAATTACGGCAAGAGGTAGACATTTGCACCCACAGGGCCAATAATCCGACCCCAAAATAAACCTGAAACAGACCAGCAACTAGGGGCAGGGGACAACAGGTTCCCTGGGTAGAAATGATCAGACCTCAACATGTTGCTTCCCTCTTCAAAACACATGGAGGAGAGAATGCGGGAGAGCAGGGAGTCAGCCAGCTCTGTCCTTCCCACCTCTGGTTCCAGGGGACCTTGTCTCTCCCACAGTGTGCCTCACCCACAGAGGCAAAGTGCAGCCTACTTGAACATCTTTTTTGTAAAGCCACTGTTTTCTTGTCTGCACTGATACGTGAAGACAGTCCTGCGAAGGGAGATTTAAAGTCGCTTCTGATTTATTCGTGTTAACACACAAACAGCAAAGTGAAAGACAAAGGTAGTGTTCCAAAAATCCCGGCTGTTCCGCCCTCCCCTCAAAAGAAAAAATAAATCCTTCCTTGCTAATGAACACCCTGGAGTCTGGTAGGATGCTGTCCCCTCCTAGCTTCTGGTCCCCTTCTTTGTTTCCCCAGGGACTATAAGCGTTTCTAAAAAATTGTCAGAGTCGCTTGAGTTTTGCACCCCTATTTCATGACCATTTCCAAGCTCAGTATCCCACGACTAGAAGGACATCACACTGGGCGGGCGGGGCGGGGGCATTGGAGGGTCCTGGGCTGTCGCCTCCTCCCTGTCCCTCCTTCACACACCCAGCCCCGGGGAGTTTCGGTTTCTCAGTGCTGGGTCGGAGGCAGCCCAGGAGGAAAGGCGACGGCACAGCTCCCGTTTTCTCAATGAAGGCAGAAAGCTGCACAGCTGCTTTTAGTTCAGGCGAAGCTGGAATTCCGCGGAGCCGCACCTGGCGGCAGGCACGCCGGCCTTCGGAGGGGCCGCTCGGTGCGGCTGCAGGACCCTGCACTCAGGCAGCAGCCTCGCGGTGGCGGTGGGACCTCTCGAGCCCAACAGCTCCTTCCAGCATCTGCCCAGAAAACTGCCTTCCTCGCAGGCGCGGGAGGAGGGTTCGGGGCTCACTGTGCCCAGGCCCCCAGGCCTGGCCGCGCCCAAGTGGCCCCCCGCGCCGAGGGCAGGGCTCGCGCCCCTGCCCCCGTCCACCCCCCTCCCGCCCCCCCTCCAGCCTAACCCTCCCCCCGCCCACCCCCTTCCCGCCCCCCTCCAGCCTACCCCTCCCCCCGCCCACCCCCTCCTCCCGCCTCCCCCCCAGCCTACCCCCTCCCCCCGCCCACCCCCCTCCTCCCGCCCCCCTCCAGCCTACCCCTCCCCCCACCCATCCCTCCTCCCGCCCCCCTCCAGCCTACCCCTCCCCCCACCCATCCCTCCTCCCGCCTACCCCTCCCCCCACCCATCCCTCCTCCCGCCCCCCTCCAGCCTACCCCCCCCCCCAGCCTACCCCTCCCCCCGCCCAGCCCTCCTCCCGCCCCCCTCCAGCCTACCCCTCCCCCCGCCTGCTCCTCTCTCCTCCCCTCGCCCCAGCGCGCCCATCCCGGGCAAAGGCACCCGGCCCCAGCTGCGCAAACACCAGGCTGAGGGGCACCCGAGTGACCCTCGGCCGACGCGGGGGGCGCGGGATGCCGGGTGCGGGCGAGGGTGTGTTTGGTTTGGGACTCGCCCTTTGACACCTGTCAGTCCTGCCTGGAGCTGCAGCTGTGGGGCCCGGGCTCGGTGGATCCCTTTTCAAAGAAACCCATGCTGGCCCCCCGCAGCCGCCGCCAACCCTCCCTGTCGGCGCCTTTAAACTGCCACAGTCCCTTCCACCCCGTCGAAAACCCCTCCAGGCCGCAGTGGGCAGCTGGGTGGGGAGAAGCGCACAGCGGCGCCGCCGTCCCGGCCCAGCCTGGTCTCCGCGCGAGCGCCTGAGGCCTTTCTGGACCGCCCGGCCAGGCCCTCTCTGCAGACAGGGACCAAGTCGGCTGCCTGTGGGGGCTGAAAACATCTCTGGGAAGCGACGCACTCGGTGCCATCAGCTTCCCCAGTTAGAAGCCTCCTTTCTGCTTAGAGCACGGTTCCCGCCAGTGCGGGAAGCATGGGGCTGCGTGGCCAAAGGGCCCTGGTCACCCTGCGCCTCCCCTGCCTGCGAGTGAGCCCGGGGGGTGAAAGCTTCGACCATCCCGGGGTGGACTCTAAGCCTTTTAGCTATGGATAAAGAACCTAACCAGGTCCCCTCTAGAATTGTGCCTTAGATTCTTGACCCCACATAAATTCTCAAAAACAATCGGAAAGTCCCACCCCCAATAGATAAAGATGCGTTCCTAGGGTCCCCCAGGGTGTAGCCCGCTCATTCTGAAGCATCCCTAAGGAGAAGCATCTGTGCCCATTCTGGTTCCCCTGTTGCACAGTTTCACAAAGCTGGTATTTTTTCTGCCTCAGGGAATGTGTTTTCACACACAAAATACAAAGCTAAACTAGACTGTCTTGGATCAACGCACATACTTTCAAGCTCAGTAAGAAACCCTAATTTTGCACGGGAGAAAATGGGGCCCCACAGTGTGTCTTTACATATTCCTTAGTGGCAGACGTGGGTCTGAAACCCAGAGGTTCCAGCTCCCAGCTCAGAATTCTTTCAGTTGTAACACAGTGATCCGGAGAGTGCAGAGCCAAACATACCATGCCCTGAACTCAGTTGAACCATTCAGATAATCGTCTCAATTCACTTTTATTACAATGGTCGTCAGATTCCCCATGCGGATAAATGGTTTCCGCCGCTATAAGAATTTGTCTCTTGTACGTCCTGCTTCACTCAGGACTAGCTTTTTCTAGAGGAGACTACAACGCCCTGGGAGACGTGCATGTGCGTATCTAGACCCTTCAGCTTCCACGTATCAGGCGATGCAGCCCCCTACAGGGACGGTGACACTGTTTGCTCTCACTCCGCAGCGTGCCAGATACAAACCCCCGCAAGGGCCACAGGCAGAATGATGCTTAGGAAGGGGTCTGCAGAGGCCGGGCGCGGTGGCGCACGCCTGTAATCCCAGCACTTTGGGAGGCCAAGGCGGGTGGATCACCTGAGTTAGGAAGTTCAAGACTAGCCTGACCAACATGGAGAAACCCCGTCACTACTAAAAATAAAAAATTAGCCGGGCGCGGTGGCGCACGCCTGTAATCCCAGCACTTTGGGAGGCCAAGGCGGGTGGATCACCTGAGTTAGGAAGTTCAAGACTAGCCTGACCAACATGGAGAAACCCCGTCACTACTAAAAATACAAAATTAGCCGGGCATGGTGGCGCACGCCTGTAATCCCAGCACTTTGGGAGGCCAAGGCGGGTGGATCACCTGAGTTAGGAAGTTCAAGACTAGCCTGACCAACATGGAGAAACCCCGTCACTACTAAAAATACAAAATTAGCCGGGCATGGTGGCGCACGCCTGTAATCCCAGCACTTTGGGAGGCCAAGGCGGGTGGATCACCTGAGTTAGGAAGTTCAAGACTAGCCTGACCAACATGGAGAAACCCCGTCACTACTAAAAATACAAAATTAGCCGGGCGCGGTGGCGCACGCCTGTAATCCCAGCACTTTGGGAGGCCAAGGCGGGTGGATCACCTGAGTTAGGAAGTTCAAGACTAGCCTGACCAACATGGAGAAACCCCGTCACTACTAAAAATACAAAATTAGCCGGGCAGCGGTGGCGCACGCCTGTAATCCCAGCACTTTGGGAGGCCAAGGCGGGTGGATCACCTGAGTTAGGAAGTTCAAGACTAGCCTGACCAACATGGAGAAACCCCGTCACTACTAAAAATACAAAATTAGCCGGGCGCGGTGGCGCACGCCTGTAATCCCAGCACTTTGGGAGGCCAAGGCGGGTGGATCACCTGAGTTAGGAAGTTCAAGACTAGCCTGACCAACATGGAGAAACCCCGTCACTACTAAAAATACAAAATTAGCCGGGCAGCGGTGGCGCACGCCTGTAATCCCAGCACTTTGGGAGGCCAAGGCGGGTGGATCACCTGAGTTAGGAAGTTCAAGACTAGCCTGACCAACATGGAGAAACCCCGTCACTACTAAAAATAAAAAATTAGCCGGGCGCGGTGGCGCACGCCTGTAATCCCAGCACTTTGGGAGGCCAAGGCGGGTGGATCACCTGAGTTAGGAAGTTCAAGACTAGCCTGACCAACATGGAGAAACCCCGTCACTACTAAAAATACAAAATTAGCCGGGCATGGTGGCGCACGCCTGTAATCCCAGCACTTTGGGAGGCCAAGGCGGGTGGATCACCTGAGTTAGGAAGTTCAAGACTAGCCTGACCAACATGGAGAAACCCCGTCACTACTAAAAATACAAAATTAGCCGGGCATGGTGGCGCACGCCTGTAATCCCAGCACTTTGGGAGGCCAAGGCGGGTGGATCACCTGAGTTAGGAAGTTCAAGACTAGCCTGACCAACATGGAGAAACCCCGTCACTACTAAAAATACAAAATTAGCCGGGCATGGTGGCGCACGCCTGTAATCCCAGCACTTTGGGAGGCCAAGGCGGGTGGATCACCTGAGTTAGGAAGTTCAAGACTAGCCTGACCAACATGGAGAAACCCCGTCACTACTAAAAATACAAAATTAGCCGGGCATGGTGGCACACGCCTGTAATCCCAGCACTTTGGGAGGCCAAGGCGGGTGGATCACCTGAGTTAGGAAGTTCAAGACTAGCCTGACCAACATGGAGAAACCCCGTCACTACTAAAAATACAAAATTAGCCGGGCGCGGTGGCTCACGCCTGTAATCCCAGCACTTTGGGAGGCCAAGGCGGGTGGATCACCTGAGTTAGGAAGTTCAAGACTAGCCTGACCAACATGGAGAAACCCCGTCACTACTAAAAATACAAAATTAGCCGGGCGCGGTGGCGCACGCCTGTAATCCCAGCACTTTGGGAGGCCAAGGCGGGTGGATCACCTGAGTTAGGAAGTTCAAGACTAGCCTGACCAACATGGAGAAACCCCGTCACTACTAAAAATACAAAATTAGCCGGGCATGGTGGCGCACGCCTGTAATCCCAGCACTTTGGGAGGCCAAGGCGGGTGGATCACCTGAGTTAGGAAGTTCAAGACTAGCCTGACCAACATGGAGAAACCCCGTCACTACTAAAAATACAAAATTAGCCGGGCGCGGTGGCGCACGCCTGTAATCCCAGCACTTTGGGAGGCCAAGGCGGGTGGATCACCTGAGTTAGGAAGTTCAAGACTAGCCTGACCAACATGGAGAAACCCCGTCACTACTAAAAATACAAAATTAGCCGGGCATGGTGGCGCATGCCTGTAATCCCAGCTATTCAGGAGGCTGAGGCAGGAGAATCACTTGAACTCTGGAGGCAGAGGTTGCGGTGAGCCGAGATCGTGCCATTGCACTCCAGCCTGGGCAACAAGAGGGAAACTGTCTCAGAAAAGAAAAGAAAAGAAGAAAGAGAAAGAAAGAAAGAAAAAGAAAGAGGGGTCTGCAGGGAACCTGGGATGACCCAGAAGTTCCTGCTGTCTGGTGACACACACTTACAGGTGGGGACTCCTCATCAAACAACCCTCCTGTTTTCCCACAACAGGCCCCAAACAACAAAAATGGCCTTTTTCCCATATTGAGGAGAAAGGAGAACTTCTTAGAATAATTCACTTTCCTTTTTTAGCTTAAAAAATCTAAATTCAATGCATTGACATGACTGATAACTTCCTAGGTATTAGGAGACTTGGTTGGCAACCAATGTACGAAGATTCTGCTTTTCTCTTTACTAATTTTTTAAAAATTCTTTTGACTACAATAGCTGAGTTGCCTCAGTTCTAGAAAGGAGACCAGGAAGAGTCCTTCAACAATTCTTTCCTGCTTTTGAACAGCACAACAGTTTCCTCTTAAATAACAGACTTTATAGTTCTCTAATGAAACAATTCAATTTTTGTTATATTTAAGAAGATATTTGCTAATTCTTAATATTGTCATCAACAAATGGCCCTAATAAGTATCTTCCAAGAGGATCGTGATCAAAAACGTAAAGATGTAACTCTCCCTGGATTCAAGGACCTCTTTCAAATTGGCAAGGATTCTGATGTAATGAAATGCTGGTGGTTGTGCAATAGTTTCTGCACTGTATCTGTTCGACGTTATTAAGATGGGTGGGTGATTAGAAGCACATGCTCTTCCTGTCATTTGCCAACTTACACACAGCCTGGAAAAGAGAATTGTATCAACCTTCATTTTTGGTGAACTGCAGCCAAACATAAACATTAACATAATACCACATTTCCCTTCCCATTCCTGGACCCTCTTTGTCACTGTTTTCAGGAACAGTTTAACTTTGAAGCCTTGCCATAATTGAACCTTTGTATCATATCTGTTTGAAACCCAAAATGCTATACAATTCAACATCTTTGACATGTATTTGTTATTTCTGATCACCAATTTCTAGCCATTAAGAAAGAAGTAGAAAAGTTTTGCAACCTTTGGCTGGCTCTACCCACTGTAGTTAAATGTCTGGTCATGCTCAAAATCACAGAAGTTGCCCATTCAAAAAAAGAACTCAGAATGAAGACACTAAAGAGACCCTAGTCTAAATTCCAGCTGTGTCTCACACAGCTGGGTGACCTTAGGGAAACGGGTCATCCCTGCAAGCCTCATAAGGACGAGGGTTGGGCTGGAACATGTCTTGCACACCTCCCTCACAGTTCACACCCATGAAAACCCTCATATAATGTCAAAAATAACACGCTAATGTGTTTTTTTTTTCCCTTTTCCCTAAACTCAATCAACTTGAGATCAAGTGTGAATCTCAGGGACAAGTTTCAGTATGTCATTCTTCAACATGATTAAAGTACTTACAAACACAGCAGAATATATTGGATGCCTTAGGGTACAATGGATATATACAACTTGTCATTCTAATGGGTCATAACATGTATTTCCAATTATGTTTCCCCCAGTGTGCTCCTGACAACTTAAGTTTCTCACAAAATCCCAGCTTTGAGAATTAGAGGAGAATGCTTACTTCACAGGCAGGAGACAGAAGTTGGGCTATTTTCAAGAGATTTCATCATAAGCAAGGCATTTAGGGCTGGGTCGCATGGTGGCTCCCAGGCCGCTGCTCTGGGCTGACAGGATCAGCTCAGTCCTTTGTTTATTTAAGAACAAAGTCTAAAGGCAATTCTCAGGGTAGCAGAGTTGATATAACCTAAAAATGCAATAGCCTGGGTGCTCCCAGCACTTTGGGAGTCCAAGGTAGGAAGATCATTTGAGACTAGCAGTTCGAGACCAGCCTGGGCAACATAGTGAGATGTCTTCTCTACAAAAAAGTAACAAGAACAACAAAAAATTAGCCAGGCATGGCGGCTTGTGCTTGCAGTCCTAGCTACTTGAGAGGCTGAGGTGGGAGGATCGTTTGAGCCTAGGAGTTCAAGATGCAGTGAGCTATGGTGGTACCACTGCACTCCAGCCTGGGTGACAGAGAAAAAACTCCTGCCTCTAAAAAAATAAAGAAAAATAAAGCATAAAAATATCAATGTAATTAGCACCAAGGGCCTCAAGGCATGGGAACAAATGTATATGTGTTCATACAAATATAACATGAGAATACTAATGCTAAATGTGGAAACACTGAAAGAAGATAAATACAGCAACTAGAGAAAAGCCCTGAAAAAAATAACTCAAATAAGAATAAATATTACTATTTAACAAAGTGTATTCCAGGTAAGTTCTCAGGCCCAGGGAACGTATGAATAATAAGGGTGACCCTATCATCCCCACAGATAGACCCACCCTTACTTAAGAGAGCTGGTATTTTTCTGGGGAAGTCAACATTTGTAGGAGGCATGCTCTAGTCCTAGCACCCCGACTCCCCTGGGGAAGCCACCATCCATGGCATGCAATGTGGGGGTTGCCCTCAATTCTCCAGGACTCTGAGCCTTGAGCAGGGGGATTCAGGGGCCAAACACAAGTCAGACTGATTTGCTCCCAGGGTCCTAGTGAAATGGTCCACCAGCTTCCGCTGTGGGCCCTGGAGCTTCCTCAGCTCCTCTCCATTCTGGGGAAACTCAGTCGAGTCTTCCTTTGCTCATTTGTCCAGAGCTGTTTCTGCTGTTGGTTACCTCCTCAGGCCTGTGCAGTCAGCCAGACACAAGGCGAGGAAGCCAGCATGGTCGGCCCGCTCTTGCCCCCGTCCTCCATGAAGCCTTCTCCTCCTACTGGCCCTTTTGGCAACCTCTGTGCCCAGCTGGAGGATGGAGGGATGCAGAAGCCAGGGGCCGTGCAAAGCAGGAGCAGCCACTCTGCAGGCAGCAGCTCTCTCCCCCTCTCTGGGGGACAAACATCACGGGCTGCTGGTCCCCAATATGAATACCCTCTGAAGTCTCAGGCTGGGTAAAAGGTTACCTCCTTAGGTTGCATGTACACGACACACTGAAAAAGGCAGAAGGAACAGAAATCAGATCCGTGGTTGCTGAGGGCTATGGTGGGCACAGCTCTAAGGGGCACAGGGAACCTTGGGGTGAGGGAAATACTCTACATCCTGACGTGGCTTCAGGACTGCACACACTGGCCAAACTCAGCGCCTAGAAAGTGGAAGTTTTTGCTGCATGTGAGTTATACCTCGACAGCCCTGACCCCAAGAACCCATTCTCATAGAGTGAAGGGTAACACTTGCTGAATTGCCCAAACCAGGGCACCTTCCCAATAACAGTTTAAGTTAAAGGAGATACAGCTTTATTTGCAGCATTTCAGCTAACTGGGGCTAGTTAGGGGGGCATGTTTTCAGGGCAAAGCTAAACTTCCCAGTACCTCTTAAATCATGCACAGTATGTAGCAGCCCCTTCCCACTCTGGGCAAAGCCATCTATGGCCCTGGTGCCTGCTGCACTTCAATATGGGCATGTGTCAAGCACCAACATCTAAAAGGGGAACCACACCAGCATGAAGCTGCCTCCACCCTCCCCACATTCACTCACACTGTCTTCTTCAGCAGGTACATAGGCCGAGGAAGCAAAGGGGGACTCAGAGCCCACAGCCCATGTGGAAGAGAATGTGGCATTTCTGCAGAATCACGTGCTTCCGAAAGCCTGGATTTGTTCACAGGGTAGTTCCTGGGGGATGCTGCCAACTTTTAAGGCCTGGATGAGCACCCTGCAAGGACAAGTCCCCAGAGGGGGACCGAGATTTAACACCCACAGGACTCTGTGGCCCCCCCAAACTATCCAGCACCCTCACCTTCCCCGTGCCGGGTTTCAGAAAGCAGCTCCAATGTGAAAAAGATCGAGCACATGCAATTCCCTCTGCTCCATGACCCTTCCCTGCACCCTGATTCCATAACCACACGTGTAAGAATGCCGGGGAGATGTTGTGCAAACCAAGCACTTTTGACCCCTTGCGGCAGTTGCACACAGTCAGCAATCTGAAAAAAGATAATTATTAGTTCTCCTATTTATTAGCTGAGCCCTTTTGAGTAATAGCCTCTGGGGACATTCATACATGCAATAAAAGTCCTCATCATGGTTAAGTGCAAAATGATGTGGCCTATTCTAGATTTTTGCTGAAACAAACCCTCAAGCCCAGGTAGTTCCTCTCCCTGGAGTTGAGAAAGGCAAAGACTTTGACAAGCACCTTCTCCACTCTTGTGTGACTTCAGCATCTACTTCAGAAATATTTGTTGAGCTCATTCAGGGGGTTGAAATCAGTAGGCTAACTCAGCCAATTTGGATCCAGCAAAGATGAATCTGAGCCCATGTTTTCTAAAATGCAACCTCACGATGAGGTGTGACTGAAAAGAGCTGTCTGGCGGCCCAAGTCCCCTCTTCCATGAGCAAAGTTGAAGTGTTTCAGCTAAAAGATTGGGGCCTAGAACAAATCCTGCCCAATAAGGCTCTTTCATGAGTCACAGGAAATTAGAACTACCGTATCTTTTAGTCACAGTTGATTCAATAGAATCAAGACCCAGCCCACATGCAGGCCCAATGGCTGGCTGTTTGCACAGAGTGATTCATGAAGGGAGCCCAAATTCTCTGCCCGATAAGATCTCTCTCCACACACTTTTCTGTTTGCCTCACCGATCCCAAACCCCCACCCCAGCTCATTCTGCTGCCTGAAATATCACCCTTTGAGTCATTCTGTTGAGTTACATAATAAAAATGGGGCATAAGTTCTACAAAAAGGAAAAAAATGGGGGAAGGGGGACTGGGCGGAGAGACACAGGGAATCATTGATCCATGACAAACACAATGTTCCCTTCCTCACACCTCTGTTAATTGCAAGGTCCAAGTGGACCAGCTTGTAAGCCTTGGAAGGACTCAGTGTGAGTACTGAACACAGCTGTCCACAGACAAACACAAATGGCAGTCTGCAAAAAGAAAACCCTGCTTCAATCTTAGCATTGTATTTTCTGCACCTCACTAGCAGAGGTGTTGGGTGTGAATGAAACAATCCATGACACTTGTGGTGACCAGCAGTACCTTCAATTCATACAGCAAATGTGATGTTAAGTTCTACCACCCATAGGTCACAATCAGTTTTCCCTTCTGGGGGTCCCTCTTCCTTTGTCCCAGGATGTGAATCAATGCCAGTGTGTAGACACCCCACAACTTACAGTGGGGTCACCACCCAATAAACCCATTGCAAAGTTGAAAAATTGTAAGTTGGATCATCATAAGTCGGGGACCATCTGTGCTTAAAGAAATGTGCTTTTAAATTCCTTTGACAGATCATTTTGCTGCTGCCTACAGCTTTTCACCAAAGTTATAAAGCAAACACAGGCTTAATAAAATATGCAATCTATGTTTAGAACCCAGGCTCCAGGGGAACGGGAGCGATGCAGAGCAAACAGGTAGGATTGCAGTGAGTCGGAGAAGAGACCCCCACCCCCCGCACCCCTGCACAACCCTCCGGTCGGCTTCCTCACTCCCTCCCCTCACTTCCTCTCTCTGCCCTACTGGAGAAGGAAACACTTTGTTAGTGCTAAGCATGCCCAGTAGCCAAGGCCAGGCTTTAGCTCTAAGTCAGAAGGAATCTAAAGGATAAACAGGATCCAAGTCCTCCATTCTCTGTTCCCTGCCAGGCCAGGGAGCAGACTGGTTCAAACAGACAGCTTCCCTGACGCATCCTACTAGAGAAGCCTTGATTGTTGGATCTCCAGCAACGTTCACGCTGCCCTCCTGGAGGAGGCTCAGGGGATGCCTGCTTAGGAGCCGAAAGCCCAAGCCCTCTCAGCTGTGTCAGGATGATGATAATGGGTGCAGGTCACTCCTTTCCTTAGGAACGCTTTTAGACTTTACCACATCTCCCCTGGAGAAAAGGGTTCTCCCCTGGCCTGTCATGCAGTTATCTCCAGAGAGGCAAGGAAGGCATGGTGGGCGGGCAGGGTCACGTACCATGAAACCCAGCAGTGGGGCAGCAAAGCCACAGTATCAAGTCTTCAAAATAAGGAGCAAGAGGCGCAGGGGCAGTCCCGGCATGGGGAGAAGACAAATGACAGTCTGCAAAAAGATAACCCTGCTGCCGATCTTAGCATTTTATCTTTTTTTTTTTTTTTTTTTTTTGAGACAGAGTCCTACTCTGTTGCCCAGGCTGGAGTGCAGTGGCACGATCTCGGCTCACTGCAACCTCCACTTCCCTGGTTCAAGCAATTCCCCTGCCTCAGCCTCCCACCTCACTAGCAGAGGTGTCAGGTATGAATGAAACAATCTGTGACCCTTGTGATAGCAAGCAGTGCCATAACAAAATTGCTAAGAGAGGAGATCTTGAGTGCTGTCACCACAAGCAAATGAAATTCATACAGCAAACGTGATTTCATGGCAGCAGAGCTTCCTGGCCCTGAAGTAGAGATCAAGCCGGGCTGCACCCTCGGCTGCCAAAGGACTCCCTGCCGTGGCTTGCAGGGGGACCCGTCCGCTCAACCCCTCTCTCAGTAAAAGAGTTGGAGCACAAATTAATTTGGTAGGTGCCAGAAATAAGTAGGGGAGGAGGGAGGTGAGCCGGTGGACAGAAAGCAGTGGATACAGGGTGAGCTGTCCAGCCAGCTACTGCTGAGAGTGACTAGTGCTGAAGGCCATGAGAAAACTCTGGGAATGGTATGATACACTTGCCTGGGAATGATCCCAGCAGAGACCAGAGAGACAAGGGCGTGATTGGTTGAGAGGTCCCCGGGTTGGTAGGGGCATGTCTCAGCTGCCATGCATTGGAGCTGAGCACTTCCCGTGCCTTCAGAGAGAACCTTCTAGCAGATAGGGCAGCTGAAAGCATTTAATACTCACCCCCACCACAGTTCAGCCCTGCAGGCTCTCTGCATCCACACCAGGCCCTTTCAGTCAAGACTGGGATCCTGCAGTAGGGACAGTGATCTAGGAAATGGCCTCTGACTTGCAGCATTTGCTAAATTCCATGGTGAAAATGTACTCACAATGGCCCATCTCAAACCATCAGCAGCCAAACACTGGATGGGACATTCCTGCACATGCAACCCCTGGCTGCTGTGCCATGAGCTAGTAGGAGCCTGCTCCAGCACACCACAGAGGCTGAGATGGGGATCCCCTTGCCTTGAGGCTCAGGTGTTGAGTCACTGGCTTTGCCTGGGGACAGGGGCCTTTGGTCCCAGGGATCCTACCATGGGATCTTCAATCCAGTAACAGCTCTCGTGCCTAGAGCTGATTTCTAAAGTTAAAGATTCGAGAGTGAAGAGGCTATGTAGTTCAGTGATTAAGAGCATGGACTCTGAGGCCAGCCTGCCCACATTTGGATCCCAGCTCAACCATGTGTCATCTGTTGTAACCTTGAGCAGGTAACCTCTCTGTGCCTGTTTCCTCTCCCATAAAATGAGGATAATAATAGTAATGACCTCACAGCATTCTTGTAAAGGTTAAATGAGTGATTATATGCAAAGTTCTTGGAACAGTGCCTGACACATAGTAAGCACTACTTAAATTTAGCTGTTATTATTTAGGGATGGAAATGAACAGTTGATAAACCTGAATTCTAAGAGCATAATAAAGTTGTCTGGTTCATCCTGAAGACTCTGCATTTCTATCACCTAAAGTTACACCTAGAATTAATTCTGGGAGACAGAGGTAGACAGAGTGAGATAGAGAGAGATTAATAGTCTCCTTTATGAGAGGAACTTTTTAATGCCACAATAAATGAAGCAGGGATCATAGAAGGGCAGGTCTCCCATATTTGAGGGTTTGTACAGCACCAGGCTCAGGTTAAAGATTGATTTGTTCTTTATTTTATATATGATTGTATACAAAGTGATGATTTGATATGCATGCATTATGGAGTGATTAAATCAAGCTAATCAGCATACCCAACAACACATACTTATTGTTTGTTTTTGGTGAGAACATTTAAGATCTCCTCTCTTGGCAATTTTCCAGCATACAATGCATTATAATTTACTATAGTCATCATGCTGTATAACAGATCTCCAGCATGTATTTCTCCTAACTGAAATTTTGCACCCTTTGACCAAGATCTCTCCAACATCCCCACACACGGTTTTTGTTAACCACCATCTAGTCTCTGTTTCTATGAGTTCAACTTTTTTAGATTCCTTCCACATATAAGTGAAATCAGGCAGTATTTGTCTCTGTGCCTGGCTTATTTCACTCAGCCAAATGTTCTCCAAGTTCACCCACACTGTTGCAAATGACAGGATTCCCTTCTCTTTATGGCTGAATAGTATTCCGTTGTGTATTTATACCACCTTTTCTTTCTCCATTCATCCACTGATGAACAGTTAGGTTGATTCCATGTCTGGGCTATTGTGAATGGTACTGCAATGAACATGGGGGTGCAGAGATCTCTTCAACATACTGATTTCATTTTCTTTGGATATACACCCAGTGATGGCATTGCTGGATCCTATGATAGTTCTATTTCTAATTTTTTGAGGAGTTTCTACACTGTTTTCCATAATGGTTGTACTAATTTGCATTCCCATCAACAGTGTACAAGGGTTCTTTTTTCTCCCTATCCTCATCAGCATTTATCTTTTGTGGTTTTGATAATGGCCATTCTAACAGGTATGAGATGATATCTCCTTGTGGTTTTAATTTGCATTTCCCTGATGATTAGTGATGTTGAGCATTTTTTCATATACTTGTTGGCCATTTCTTGGCCATTTGTAAGTCTCCTTAGACATGTCTATTCATGTCTTTTGCCCATTTTTAAATTGGGTTATTTGTTTTCTTGTTATTGAGTTGCTTGAGTTCCTTATGTATTTCAATAATGGATGTCATACTTTTCTTTTCTTTTTTTTTGCAGTTGCAAGATTTAATAGAGTGAAGACAGAGCTCCCATACAAAGGGAGGGGACCCAAAGGGGGTTGCTGTTGCCGGCTCAAATGCCTGGGTTTATATCCCAATCATTGTCTCTCCCCCTGTGCTCTCAGGCAATAGATGATTGGCTATTTCTTTACCTCCTGTTTTTGCCTAATTAGCATTTTAGTGAGCTCTCTTTACTATCCGATTGGTTGGGTGTGAGCTAAGTTGCAAGCCCCATGTTTAAAAGTGGAAGCAGTCACCTTCCCAGCTAGGCTTAGGGATTCTTAGTCAGCCTAGGAAATCCAGCTAGTCCTGTCTCTCAATCCCCCCTCTCAACAGGAAAACCCAAGTGCTGTTGGGGAGGTTGGCCGACGACCGCTCTAACTGCTTCCTGCTGAATTGGGGCATAGTAGGGGTTGTGCAGTTGAAATTTCCTTGGGGGAGTGCTTTCGATATCATTAACATCGGTGCATGGGCTAGCAGGCCGGTCCAGGGGTCTGTGGTAGATCTTAGTCATGGACTGCATCTGGGGCTCCTTTTGAAGAACAATTAGTAGTTTTACAGCTTCGATTCTGGAAGAGACAAACTTAACAAGGAGGTTAAAGATACAGGGTCCAAAGAAGAGTCGCAATATTATAGCTGCTGGAGGTCCTAAGAAGGGGAGAATCCAGGGCACCCATTGGCTGAGAAGGCCCCAGGGTCCAGTGTTTTTTAAGCTCCTTTGCTCTACGTTGTATTCGATCTCGAATTTCTTTAACTTTCTCAGTGACAATTCCAGATTAATTAACATAATAACGGCATTCTTCCCCTAAAAATAAAAAGGTTCCCCCTCTTTCAGCGGTTAGCAAGTCTAAAGCTCTTCAATTTTGAAGGACTACTGCATACCCCACCTTTTGAAGTCCTTTTTCTACAAAGGAAATTCCATCAGTGTACAAGTTGAGGTCGGGATCAGTCAAGGGAACCTCTAAAAGGCCCCTCAAGTGGCGTAGGTTTGAGCAATTATTTGTTGACAGTTATGTTCTATCTTTTCTTCATTGTCTGGAAGAAACGTGGCTGGGTTAAGAGTTGCACAAGTGCACAGTCACAACACTGGCCCTTCAAGTAATATTTTACTGATATTTAAGTAAACGATTGTCTGACAGCCACAAGTCTCCTTTAGCAGAGAATATGCTGTTCACATCATGAGATGTCCACACAGTAAGATCTCTTCCCTGTATCATTTTAACTGCTTCAGATACTAAGACTGCTACGGACGCCACTACCCATAAACAAGGAGGCCAACCCTTTGCCACTACATCAATTTCCTTACTCAGGTATGCCACGGGTTGCAAGCTTGTCTCTCGGACCTGTGTAAGGACTCCTAGAACTATTCCTGTTTTTTCTGTGATATATAAAGAAGAGTCTTGCCCTGTTGGCAAGCTTAACACTGGGGCTTGGGTTAGGGCCTTCTTTAGGGCCTGGAAAGCTGCTTCTGCTTCAGGTGTCCATCTTACTAATCGGTATTGGCTTTCTGAGTTTCCTTAATTAGTGTATATAATGGTCTGGTAAATCCAATGGACCTGGGCTTGCAGGCCTTGTAGGACATTAGGATGAAATTCTAATTTATATATATCTATATCTATATATAGATATAGATATATACTGCACACCCAAACCTATTTGTTGAGTATGGTAAATATTTAGTATATGGTACAGAGTGGATACTCAACAAATGGTAATCAGCATTAATAATAGTAAAAGTGCACCTTAACCTTTAATGAGGAAGTCAAATCCTCATCAATCAACCTACAATTGTTGTACAAATTACACAGTTTACCATGAGGTAGACACTTGGGGGGAAATACCTTCAGTAACTTTTAACTAAATTACCTGGAATTTGATCTACAGGATTATTTATGTTGCAAATCAAAGCCATATAGGTCTTTGCCAACATGCATGTCATACCATTCATGCCAAGAAATATAAACCTCTGATATTACTGATTAGTGCAATTAACTTACTTGGTCTTTAAAGTGAAAACACCCCACACATTTAGAAACTATAGGAGGAACACTAAAAACCTAGGGTGTATACCGAATGAGATGCCTTGACTCTCCCATAAGAATTTTCATCTGTTGGCCAGGTATGGTGTCCCACACCTGTAATCCCAGCACTATGGGATTACATAGTGCCCAAGGCGGGCAGATTGCCTGAGGTCAGGAGTTCAAAACCAGGCTGACCAATATGATGAAACACTGTCTCTACTAAAAATACAAAAATTAGCCAAGCGTGGTGGCATGCGCCTATGGTCCCAGCTACTCGGGAGGCTGAGACAGGAGAATCGCTTGAATCTGGGAGGCAGAGGTTTCAGTGAGCTGAGATCACACCATTGCACTCCAGTCTGGACAACAAGAGCAAAACTCCATCTCAAAAAAAAAAATAATAATAATAATCTGTTAAACCAAAAAATACAATGCAAAAATGTTATTGAAATGAGACTAACAAAAAAGTTTTTAATCTCCTTATTTTCTTTTCAAGCATAACTAGATGGAAAAAGATGAAGATAATTCATCTGCTCAATTGTTTTTTTCAGCTCAGTGATTCTCTGTCTTCTATGTTTACATTGTCAAAATAGAAATAGGTCCTATTAGCTCTAAGGTTTATGCACATAAGTGATTAATCCCATTTAAAGTTTGTGTTTCTCCCTTTCCTCCACGAGCCCTCAGTTTTCCATTTTTCTCTCACCATCTTCTTGCTATCTTTCCCTGTACTCTGTGAGACCTCCTTCAAAGGTCAGCCAGAATAAGAGCAGAATTTTTTTTTTTTTTTTGAGACAGAGTCTTGCTCTGTTGCCCAGGCTGGAGTGCAGTGGCACAATCTTGGCTCACTGCAACCTCTGTCTCCTGGGTTCAAGTGATTCTCCTGTCTCAGCCTCCTGAGTACCTGGGACTACAGGTGCGCGTCACTGTGCCCAGCTAATTTTTGTATTTTTAATAGAGACGGGGTTTCACCATGTTGGCCAGGCTGGTCTCGAACTCCTGACCTCATGATCTGCCTGCCTCTGACTCCCAAAGTGATGGGATTACAGGCGTGAACCACCACGCCTAGCCCAATAGCAGAATATTCTATGCAAGAAGAAGAGAGTAAGCTTCTGCTGGATCTTACAAAAAGCTTGCCCAGATCCTTTCAACTTCCCAGGAACCACCAAACCTTCCCTCAGCAGCATGTCATCACTGGAGCAGCAGGTTGATTTGCAAAACCATGTGGAGCCAACAAAATCTTCTCAAACCCAGTCCTCATCTCACTCCATTCACCAGAACACATGTCTAAAACAGCAAAGATTTCTATGTGTAAAGCGAGCCCATAAGAACTCTGGGAGAAAGCATGGAAGAGTCCTAAGTCTTTTTTGTAGAAGCAGGGCTCATCTGTGCATGGCACAAACCCCAAATGCTTTCTAAGAAAAGGTGGGTAAGTGTGAGTCTTTAAATAATGTAAACTTCTATTTGTTTAAGCAATAGACAAATGAGAAACATATTTGTGGCCTATCTGACAAATAAAGGTAATGATAAAGCTTTTAAAGTCAATTTTTAAAACTAAAAAAAAAAAATACAATAAAAATAAACAGTAGTCAAGGCCAGATTCCAGAAAATAATGCAAATAGTCCATAAAATGCAAAAAAATGTTGTCTTCCTTACTTGAAACATGAATTACAGCAATAATCATTTGCCATTTATTGCCTATTGGCAAAGATTTAAGAGTTTCATAGCACATGGAGTTGGTGAGGTTTTGAGGAAATAGGCAGTTCATATAATGTTGATAGGGTTGTAAATTGATATAACTTTTTCACAGGGCAATTTGGCAATATCTATTAAAATGTAAAATTTACATACCCTTTGACCCAGCAATTTCATTGCTAAGAATTCAGCCTAAGGGTTTGTTCTCTCATCTGTGCAAAGAGTGCAAGGGTACCAGGACACGTCTTGCTGTATTGTTTGTAATCTCCCCAAATGGGGGGAGAAAACTTGCTAATATCAATTTAAGAAACTGGTTAAATTCATTATGATACAAACCACACAATGGACTATTAAGCATGGGTGGATTCTTATGCTCTTGTGGAAAGGTTCTGAGATACACTGTTGAGTGAGGAGAAGTGTGCTGCGGACAATACATCGAGTGTGACCCCATTTGCAGTGAAGGTTAAATAGATATATATCCGTCTGTGTGAAAGTTTGCACGTGCAGAGGAAATTTTCAGAAAGATTTTAAGAAAGACTTAAATTGCAGTTACCTCTGTGTATCTGGTAAAGCTGGAGAGGTCTTTTATCTTTGGAAAAACATTTTATCTTTTACCTTACACTCTTGTATTCTACTTGGCAGAAGTCATTTTTATCATTAATGTGCATTACTTTACTATTAAGACAAACATAGTTTACTATTTGGGGAAGAATACAAAAGAGAAAAAGGAGGAGAAAACAAAGGAGGGAAGGAAAGCATAAAGGTTTAAAGGAGGGAGGAGGGAAGGAGAAAGGAAAGGAAAGGAAGAGAGAAGAAACCTCCTCATTCTTTTGAGTAGAAGGCCGTTACCTGTTTCAATGGAGACAGTTAGCAGCACATTTTAAAACTTAAGTAATTTTACCCAACTTCACAAACACTAACTTGTTGCTTCTTTTATAAATGAAAACAAGGAAGTCTCTAGGGTTGGTTTCGTCCACACTTTTTCTTAGGCTATATGCAAACCACCCTGGGATAAAGTCCTCACTGCACGTAAGCCAAGGGTGACTCCAGGGAGCCAGACGGCATTTCCTTCCATAATACACAAATTTGTATTTTGCCTGATGTTTTTGTCTCTGAGCCCAGATCCCACAGTGATAGGCGCCACAAAAGTACACAGACCAACAGAGGACGCGCCCTGATTTTGCAGAAGAGACCGATGCTTGGAGGTCAAGAGGCTGCCTGCCACGGATTCAGACTGGAAGCTTCGGCCGTCTGAGCAGATTAGAGCATCAGGCTTTGTCGCTAGTGCATGCAGGAGTTTTCACAGATAAAAATCTTTCTTTCTTCTCCTTAAGATTCTGGTAGCTAACCAGAAGCTACATGAATTTTTTTTTACTTACTTTTTAAGATTAAAATCATACATGAGGTCTCTTTTATAAGATAATGAGTATTGCAAAGGATTTTTTTTTTTAAAGAACTGGTTTTTAAAAATTGAGAGACTTTAACAAGGCTTGTATGTTTGTTTTTAAACTCCTTTTCTATGGTAAAGGAGGAAAGTTTAGGCCTACCACAGGACCAAGGCTTGCAGAAAGACAAAACTGTTCTGGAAGCAAATGGGACCCACTCCTTCACCTCCTTCCCCCGCCCTCCCTTTCCTCTCCTTGCCCCAAACTGAACTCTGCAACCATTACTGAAGCTTACAAAATATTCTGCTACTACTCGACAGTTTAAAAATTAACAAGCATGTAAAGCTACCGGGGGTAAAAGCCTGGAGCCTGTGGCAAGAAGCAAGCCCTGGCTGGATTCTGTAATTATTTCTTACGCAACTCCAGGTCGCAGTCACAGCTTTCCGAAGATTACACACTTCCAGCCGCTCAGCCCTGCTGGAGCAGGAGGGCCTGGCTCTGCCAGAGTTGTGTATGCCTCTCATAGCATCATAATTAGTCATTAAACAGCAGAACAAAGGGCCATTCTGACCAAGGTGGCACTACTGGATTCCTTTGCTTGCAGGAAAGGAGAAATTTCTTGCACGTTCTCCCCTGGAAGGATGTGAATGGGGTTGGGAAGGGAAGACCAAGATGTGGAGAGGGGTGGACCGAGAGTTAGTTGCAGAAGGCAGACTTCATGGGGATTTTCTGTCCCTGCTGCTGCGTTTCTTGTTTGTGTTGCTGCATAAACTCCACCAGACCAGCACGCTGTGACTGCCCTAGCCCGGCCCGATCAATGGGAAGGGACCTCTTGGAGGGCCTCTGTGCCTACGAGGTTTCCAGCCCTACCCCAGGCTTTTCCTTATTACCAAGATTGCTGCCCTCATGTTCACACATTTTATTTTTTATCAGAATTTTGCGAAATCAGAATTCTAAACTTCTGAGGCCCTAGATAGTTTTAATGAAGCATATACCTAGAACCTGAATATTCAGGGTAAAGTATTAGCCTTAAGTATAATCACGGCTAGCCCATGGATTCTGCAGATGAAGAAACTGAGGCCAGAAAGCCCAGTGGTGAGCTTTATTACAAACATTATGGGGGCTTCATGAAGGCACTTGGCTTTACTTTATTCTTGGAACTCAGAGCTAACCTCCCATGCTTTCTTTGTCTGCTCTATGAATTCAGTGTCTACCTGAAACCTCCACCCAACCTGTTTGTACACTTGGAAAACCCAACCTGGTGCATGGGCTGGGTGATAATCATGGCAACACTGCAGCCTGCAGGTAAGTGTGAAGATAACAGCAAGACAGCTGGAGAGTGCTACCTGCCAGCACACAGTCTCAACCCCTAAGAGGCAGCTGCGCCCAAGAGAGGAGGGATGTCAATGAAGGGTCACACCTTCAGTTTGGGCTGAAATGAGTGAGCTAAAGGAGTGGTTTGTTATTCAGAATTACATTTGCCAAAGTGTACTAGGGAAAAGAATTAATTTCCCACAGCATTGGTAAGAGGATTGGGTCTTTTTGCCTGGACTTTATAGAAGAGGTCAAGAAAGATGGAAAATGGCCCACGGAAACTGACTCGCCCACAGCGGCCTGCCCTGCTCAGCTGTGCCACTCAGTAACCACTAACAGCGACTCCAAGTTGACAAGAGAAAAACAGTCTTTTCACATTAATCTCATTTCCCTGTGTGAGAGTTTCACTAGACTACATCAGGGAAACACCACAGACACTGACTATCCAGTTCTAATACATCCGAAAATATCTTCAAGGATGGCATAGAGAAATGTAGGTTAGACAATTAAGTTACAGAGAAATTCCGTGGATTAATCAGTTGTAACCCAAAGGTGCCAGTTAATGGATTAACATCGACCTATAGGGACACATCAAAGAATTCTTTTCCACCATGTTTTCCAATGAACTGGATAGAAACACCTTCAGATCTCAGCTCAAATGTTACCACTTCCTTTGAGGTTTTCTCTAGCCACCCTATCTAAAATTGGGAAAAAAAAAAAAAAGTCCTCTCCTCTTTTATCTCTCTCTTCTGCTTTATCTTTCTCCTCGGCACTTGGCATTACTGAGTTTACCATATGTACCTATCTTTGTTTCATGTGTCTTTCACACTTGAATGAAAGCTCCAGGAAAATAGGGATTTCTTCCTGTTTTGTTCACCGCTGTATGCCCAGATCTTAGATTGGTGCCTGGTGGCTGGGCACCATGGCTCACACCTGTAATCCCAACACTTTGGGAGGCCGAGGCAGGTGGATCACCTGAGGTCAGGAGTTCAAGACCAGCCTGGCCAACATGGTGAAACCTCATCTCTACTAAAAATAAAAAATTAGCCAGGCATGGTGTCACTTGCCTGTAATCCCAGCTACTTGAGAGGCTGAGGCAGGAGAGTCTCTTGAACCTGGGAGACGGAGATTGCAGTGAGCCGGGATCGCACCACTGCGCTCCAGCCTGGGCGACAGAGCAAGGCTCCGTCTCAAAAAACAAAAACAACAACAAAAAAAAGATGCCTGGCATGTCAAAGTGCACTCAATAAATAGTCACCAAATGAACCAATGGATGGCAATAATGTGCTTGCTGAATGTGAAGATAGCATAAACCCAGGCGGGTGGGGGAAATATTAGATGGCAAAGTCAACAACCAAAATTATCTTGACAGGTGAGAACGACAGTCCGAAGCCAGCAAGATGGAATTTAACAGGCTATGTAAATCAATCCCACAGTTAGATTTCAGAAAAACAATTGCACAAGAACAAGATGGGAAAGATAATGTGGCTAAATAATACCACATGCAGAAATGACAGGGTCTCGGATGACTGCCAGCTCAGTCTGAGTCAAAAATAAAACCCTCCTTTCAAAAAAGTGTGATCTTTGCTGTCATCACTAATTAAAATAATCATAGTTTTCAGCACAAAAGTGTGCTCATATGCATTCCTGCACTTGAACTCACATCTTTTCATAGATACATGCAATATGCCTGTGATCAAGTTTATTCATTCCAGCCTGGTTTGTAAGAGCAAAGATGAGAGTCCACCTAACTGTCCATCAGTAAACAGGGGACTGGTGAAATAAATGAGGGAAAGCGAATACAGCCTTCAAATAAGAAGGAGGAGCCAGGTGTGGTGGCTCAGGCCTGTAATCTCAACACTGTGGGAGGCCGAGGTGGGAGGATCTCTTGAGCCCAGGAGTTCAAGACCAGCCTGGGCAACATGGTGAACCCCATCTCTACAAAAAATATGAAATAGAAAATATTTGTATGGTGACGCACACCTGTAGTCCCAGCTACTCAAGAAGCTGAAGTGGTAGGATCACTTGAGCCCAGGGAGGTCGAGGCTGCAGTGAACCATGATTGCACTACTGTACTCCAGACTGAGCAACAGAGTAAAACCCCAGCTCAAAAAAATAAGAAGAAGAAGGAGGAAATTCTTAATGCATTGGTTCAGAGCAGTCTCTAAGGTAAATAGGTAGGGGAGACAGAGATTTAACAAAAAAGAAAACAAATCTCCAGCTTTATTTAGATTTCATTTGGAGTCTTGCTACTCGGGCTGATCCTTGGCCATTAGTGTGGGCAGGCTGAAGGCTTTTTAGAAGTGCAAAGTGGCAGGACCCATATCAGACCTACTGAAACAGAATTTGCATGTTAATAAGATTCCTAAATGATGCCTATGCACTTTACCATTTAAAAAGTAAATTTACTTTATCGTGGTAAACTATGCATTACATAAAATTTGCCACTTTAACTATTTATGCAATTCAGTGGCATGAAGTCCATTCACAGCGTAGCACAGCTATCACCACACCATCCATCTCCAGAACTTACACAGATTTTATTGGTAGTTTTGAACTACTTGGAAGAACAAATTTGTAACACTTTTAAAACTTGTTTGTTCTTAAAGGTACATCTCTCATCTGTTGATTCATTCATTCATTTAATGTATACCCATTGAGTGTTTGTGCTAATCCAGATATCATTCTGGACACAGAGGGCTACAGTGATAAGCAGAAAGACATGAAGTTTACAGCCTAGTGAGTTGGCTGAAGTGATTTATTTGTCTTTTATTCCATCTTCATTGAGGTAGGTATAATGACAAATAAAACTGGTATGACCATTATGAAAAAGAGTATAGAGGTTTCTCCAAAAATTAAAAATAGAAGTGTCACATGATCCAGCAATCCGCAACCAAAAGAATTGAAATCAGTATGTTGAAGAGACAGCTCGCTTCCATGTTTATTGCAGCACTATTCACAATAGCCAAGATATGAAATCAACCTAAGTGTCCATCAACAAATTAATGGATAAAGAAAATGTGACATATATATATATATACACATATATATACACACACATATACACACACACACACACACACAATGTAACACTATTCAGCCTTTAAGAAGAAGAAAATCCTGTCATTTGTGACAACATGGATGAACCTGGAAGACATGATGCTTAGGGAAATCATTCAGACAGAGAAAGACAAGTACCGCATGATCTCACTTATATTAAAGGTCTAACTCATAGAAGCAGAGAGTAGAATGCTGGTTACCAGGGACAGTGAGGTGGAGAGACTAGGGAGATGTTAGTTAGAGGGGACAAACTTGCAATTATAAGTTCTGCAGATCTATTGTACAGCGTGGTGACTATAGTTAATAATAATGAACTGTACACTTGAAAGCGGATAAGAGAGTCAATCTTAACTGTTCTCACCACAAAAGAGACAAAAATGATAACTATATGAGGTGATGCACGGGTTAACTAATTTGATCGTGGTAATCATCTTACAGCGTATATGTACGTCAAGTCATCGTGCTGTGCACCTTAATATTGAAATGCTGCTGTGGGGAATGAATTTAACCCAGCCTGCCTCATGCCGTCTGGACCCTTCCCTCCAACCTCACTTCTTGTAGCCCTCCCTCATGTTCTGGAGGCCAGGGAACTTGTAACATTCCCAACAGTTCTGAGTCCATGCCCAAAAGGTTCTCCAGGATCTCAGGGAATACTGGATTTTGCAGGATCCTCCTCCGTGATTCATTCAGAAGAGTCCGTGGCTGAGCTGACACCAACGTCAGCTGATTTTGCCCCAACAGACTCTGCCGACTGAAGGGATTTCTGCAGCTTTGAGTCATTCACTCTTCTTTGGTCACCGTGCTTAGGTCAGGATGCAGGCAGTCCCTTCTATCTGAGGGTAATTTTCAGTAGCTACCACCTAAGTGTTCCGCCCAGCTGGCACAATCCTAGCCTCAGCTGCGTATTTTCCTCCAAGGCCAAGGGTGATATCAAAACCAGCCCAGGAATTCTTTCCAAATTCAAGGTTACTGTTGCTGCATCACGGTGTGACATGGGTAAGATCTTGCCCTTGGATGGTGCAGTGTGGACTTGGTGTGGGATTTTGTTCATGTTCTGTAGTCACTGGCCAGAAGGATGAGGTTCACATTTTGCATGAGGTTGCTGGGGGTCTTAGAGGTCACACTAATTTGGCACCATTCTACATGGTCTGCAGATGAGTTGATTGAAAGTCCCCATTCTGCCCACACTTGCTGCAGCCACACACAGTACCTGCTCTTCATCACTTTGCCTCCCTTAATACTTCAAGATGTATTTTTAAGTAAAAAAATTTAAAAAGTGAGATGTAGAATGGCATTTCAGCATAGTACCTTTGCACAGGGGGAAGGGCACCCACTCTGTTACAGGCACTCAGGTGTGTGTGTTATCATACCCGGAGGGCAGCCCTGAGCACACACATGCCAGTGGCCTGGCTGACTCCAGGGGTGTGGTGATGGAGACAGCAGTGCCAAGAGGACATGCCATCACTGCCTCTGTCCCTTTTGAATTGGCAGCATGTGCAAGTATTACCTAGTCAAAAAATTAAATCTGAATTATGAATAAATTTAAAACTGGTTTTCTACCTTACCAAATATAATGTTTTACTTTATTTAACCAACATGCAGTGCCAGTACTAAAGAAGTGACTGCCCTATTTTTTACCATGTATTAGTCAAGACTTTCTCATGTATAGAATGTTCAAATTTGAACATCATACTTCCAAAAAAGTATATTTGATATTTATATAATAAAGGTACTTTCTTGTCTTTCCTTCTTCCTCAAAACAAGAAGCATGCCAAGGGAGATCTCATCTCTAGGTTTAAATTATTTCTTTGCCATCTGTTAGCATGTCTTCAAGTCATTCTTTGTAAGCCATTCATTTCTGTGCATTGCTTCACAATGCCACATCCTCTATTCTCGTAAGATCCTGTACCAGCAAATGACACACAAATTCAAGAGAATGTTCTAAGTATACATTCAGATAGTAAAAGCATACGTTAGTCACAAATTTTGTTTATTCATGTTTCTACAACTTCAATAGTAGAAATAGGTAGATGATTTCCAGTTTCCACTCCACTATGTAGGGAGCTTGGAAGCGATCATCACTTCCATCCTCACAACAAGAAAAGAGTTAAACAAACTGAAAATCAACAACTCTTCTTAGATCCATCAAAGAATTGCAGTCCCAGGGAAAACTGCTGCCCCCAAAATGGAGAGACAGATAGGCAAATACAGAGATTCACATTGTACTGGAGCAGAGGCCCAAGAAAGAAAACAGCTTCAGGAACCAGTACCAGTGTCTCTTACCCAGCACATCATGCCTGGCTTTTAACAAGAGATTAGGATGTGTATGAAAACTCTAAAAACACAGAAGAAACAGAGCAAGCATCAGAACCAGACTTGGATATTGCAAATATATTGGAATTATCAGACAAGGAATTAAAAAATACTGTAATTAATATGCCAAGGGTTCTAATGAAAAAAGTAGGCAATATTCAAGAAAAAATGGGTAATGTAAGCATAGAGATGGAAACTCTAAGAAAGATTCCAAAGAAAATGCTGGAAATCAAAGATGCTACAACTGAAATGAATGCCTTTGATGAGCTCATCAATAAACTCCATGGCCAAGGAAAGAATCAGTGAACTTGAAGATATGTCAGTAGAAACTTCTAAAACTGAAATGTAAAGATCAAAAAGAAAATTAAAAGATAGAACAGAATACCCAAGAACTGTAGGACAATTACAAGAGCTGTAACATACACATAATGGGAATATGAGAAAGAGACAAAAGAGAGAAAGCAACAGAAGAAACATTTGAAACAAGAATGACTGGTAATGCTTCAAATTTAATGACAGACACAAAACTTTACAGCCAAGAAGCTCAGAGAACACCATGCAGAGTAAATACCAAAAACTGTACAATTAGGTACATCCTGTTTAAGCAGAAGAAAATCATAAACAAAGAGAAAAATATTGAAAGGAGAAAGAAACACTTTATCAATAGAGGAGCAAGGATAAGTATTACACAGGACTTCTCTTCAGAAACTTTGCAAGCAAGGAAGGTGTAGTGAAATATTTAAAGTGTTGACAGAAAAATAACAATAACAACACACTAGAATTCTGTACGCTGCAAAATTGTTCTTCAAAAGTAAAAGAACATAAAGACTTTCTCAGAAAAATAAAGATTAATTTATCTCCAGTAGGCTTGCCTTGCAAGAAATGTTAAAAAGAAGTTCTTCAGAGAAAAGGAAAATGATACAGGGAAGAAAGTCATTAAGAAAGGAAGAACATTAGAGAGCAATTAAGTGAAGGTTAGTTTTTTAAACTTTTCTTAGGTCTCACTTTGTTGCCCATGCTGGACTGCAGTGACACAATCTCAAGGCTCACTGCAACCTCCCAGGCTCAAGCAATCCTCCCACCTCAGACTCCTTGGTAGCTAAGACTACAGGTGCATACCACCATAAGTACCTAATTTGGTTTACTTTTTGTAAACATGGGGTCTTACTGTGTTGCCCAGTCTGATCTCAAACTCCTGAGCTCAAGTGATTCTCCTGCCTCAGCCTCTCAAAGTGCTGGGATTACAGGTGTGAGTCACTGCACCCGGGTTAATTTTTATTATTCTTAATTGATTTAAAAGATAACAGTTTGCTCGAAAAATAATAGCAAAAAGCCATTCTGTGATTGTAGCTTATGGAAAAGTGAAATGAATGACGGAAATGTTATACAAAATGGGAGAGGAGAATTGGGAATACTCTAAGGTACTTGCACTACCCATGAAGTGGTATAGTGTTACTCAAGAATGCCTTGGAATAAGTACCTATATTTTGTAAACCCAGGGCAACCACTAAAAAAAGTTGTTTTTTAAAAGTGTAAGTGACATGCTAAGAGAATAGGAGAAAATAGAACCATATAAAATGATCAGTTAAAACCAGAGAAGACTGAAAAAGAGTGAAAGACAAAAAAGAAAAGAAAAAAGAAAGAATAAACAAGGGCAACAAATATAAAACAGTAACAAATATGGTGGGTATTCATCCAGCTATGTCAGTAATCATTTTAAATGTGAATGGTCTAAATGAACCAATTAAAAGAGAGAGACTGTCAGGACCCAACTATATATCATCTATAAGAAACCCACTTTAAATAAAAAGACACAGATGGATTAAAAGTGAGGGGATGGAGAAAGATATACCACACTAACACTAAGCAAAAGAAAACTGGCATAGCTATGTTAATTTCAGTAAAAGCAGACTTCAGGACAAGGAAAATTATCAGGGATAAAGTGGAGCATTCCATAATGATAAATGGGTCAATTCTCTATGAAGACATAACAATCCTTAATGTGTATGCACTAACTACATAGTGTCAAAATACATGAGACCAAAAGTGATAGATCTGCAAGAATAAATAGGTAAATCCACTATTATAGTTGCAGATGTCAACACCCCTCTATCAGGAGTTGGAAGATCCAGCAGGCAGAAAATCAGCAAGGGTATAGTTGAACTGAATAGCATCATGAATCAACTAGATAGAACTGACATTTATAGAATACTTCATCCAACAACAACAGAGAACATATTCTCTCAATTTCACACAAAGAGTTCACCAAGATGGACCACGTTCTTGGCTATAAAACACACCATAACAAATTAAAAAGAATAGAAATCATACAAAATCTGCTCTCAGACCACAATGGAATTAAACTAGAAATCAATAACAGAAATGAAAGCCCAAAATCATATGATTAAATCAATAAATGAAGAAAAAGCATTTAACAAAATCCAACAACCATTCATGATTTAAACTCTTAGCAAACTAGAAATAGAGGAAAAATTCCTCAAATTGAACAAAAAGTTCACACACACAGAAAAATCTATAGCTAAAGCCATGCTTAATAGTGAAAAACTAGTGGTTTTCCCACTAAGATCAGGAAAAAGGTGAGAATGTCCACTCTTACCATCCTTATTCAGCATCATACTGGAAGTCCTAGCTAATGCAATAAGACAAGAAAAGGAAATAAAAAGTACGCAGATTGAGAGAGAGGAAATAAAACTGTCTTTGTTCGCAGATGGCATAACTGTCTATGCAGAAAGTCCCGAAGAACTGACAAAACACTCCTGCAACTAATAAACAATTACAGCAAGGTTTCAGGATGCAAGGTTAATACACAAAAATCAATTGCTTTCCTATATACCAATAAGAAACTATTGGAATTTGAAATTGAAAACACCATGCCATTTACATTAGCACCCAAAAAACATGAAATACTTCGGTATAAATCCAGCAAAATATGTACAAGATCCACATGCGGAAAGCTATAAAACTCTGATAAAAGAAATCAAAACAGATCTAAATAAATGGAGAGATGTTCCATGTACATGGATGGGTAGACTCAATATTGTTAAGGTGTTAGTTCTTCCAAACTTGATCTATAGGTTCAACATAATCCCAAACAATATTATTGCAAGTTTTTTGTGGATATAGACAAATTGATTCTAAAATTTTAAGATTGACCCATTCACACAAATTTGTCTATTCATCTTTTGGTGGACACTTATGTAACTTCCACTGATAGATGGATAGACAAACAAAATGTGGTCTATGCACACAATGGAATATTATTCAGCCTGAAAAAGGAAGGAAATTCTGGCATATGCTACAACATGGATAACCTTGAAAACATTATGCTAACTGAAATTAGCCAGTCACAAAAGCACAAATACTGTATAATTCCACTTACATGAGGTACCTAGAATAGGCAAATTGATAACAACAGAAAATAGAATGAGTATTGCCAGGGATTGGGAGAGGAGGAAATTAGAAATTGTTTAATGGGTACAGAGTTTCGCTTTTGCAAGATGAAAAAGTTCTGGAGATAGATGGTCGTGATGGTTGCAAAACACTGTGAATGTACCCACACTACTGAACTGTATCATTAAAAAAAATGGTTGATATGGAGCTGGGAGTCATGGCATATGCCTGTAATCTCAGTGCTTTGGGAAGCTGAAAGGGGAGGATCGCTGGAAGCCAGGAGTTCAAGACCAGCCTGAACAACATAGTAAGGCCCCCATCTCTACCACAAAATAAAAATAAAAAATAGCTGCATGTGGTGGTACATGCCTGTAGTTCCAGCTACAAGGAAGGCTGAGGTAGGAGGATCACTTAAGTCCAGGAGGTCAAGGCTACAGTGGACCATGATCACTCC
Source organism: Homo sapiens (assembly GCF_000001405.40). Lineage (NCBI taxonomy): Eukaryota > Metazoa > Chordata > Mammalia > Primates > Hominidae > Homo > Homo sapiens. The sequence goes on from NC_000006.12 coordinate 1,345,701, forward strand.
ACTCCACTCCAGCCTGGGTGACAGAGCAAGACCCTGTTTCTTAAAAATAAAAAACAAATTTTAAAAAAAAGTTAATATGGCAACTTTTATGTTATGTATATCTTACCACAAATAAAATTTCAAAAATTAGTAGGAGGATAAGTAGATATTTGACAAAAACTGACAATATAGTTACTTCTGGGGAGAAGGACTGAGGTCCAGAACCAGAAAGATTTTTCACACATTTTTAACTCAGCATTTTCTAACCATATGCATTTCTCAACTTTTCAGTTTAAAAGAGTGGAAGGGGATTGCCAACGACCCCCACATCCCTTTCAAACAGAAGGGGTAGTTAAGAGCCAGATAGGGGTTTTTGTTTTCATACACGTGTTAATCTTTAAATGGAGATCCTGTATTTAGGGCTTAATTCTCTTATTTACATCACTGTAAGTGAAACTTTCTCAAAATTTAGGAAAGCCAGTTATTCATAGGAACCCAAAGGCTCAGTCTTTGGCACATGAAAATAATAAAGCTTGTCTATCCATGGTATTGTTCCTGTTGTTTTTAATAGTAGTGATAGAGTTTTACATATTCATCTCTGCCCTGTCCACCAGGCTTGTGTCCAACAATAACAACTGATGTTTACTGAGGGCTATTTCTTAAGCACAGTGTTTAGTTCTTTCACATATCTCCTTTAATATATCTCCTTTTAGATACATAGATAGATAGATAGATAGATAGATAGATAGATAGATAGATAGCTCTCCAGTAATAATTGGATAATCCTAGGGTCCTAGTGCTACTATGGTCTTTTACACATAAGGAAGCTGGTACATAGGAAGGTAAATAACTTTGCTGAGGCCTTGCTGCATTCAGATACAATTTTGCAGCCACTCTGCTATGAATCCGATGCCTGTGTGTTAAATCATCACACTGTGCTGCCTCCAGCAGCTTTTCAGGGCAGGGATGGCATGAAGCCTATTGCTGTGAAACCTGCAAGGACCGCTGGACCACAAGCCTTCCAGCTTGCTCCCTGTGGTGTCCCACAAATCACACAGCATCTGTCACTAAGTACCTGAAAGACTTAGTGAATTAGCCAGGCTTGCCATAACCAAGAGCTATTTACCTAAGAGTGCAAGTAAGTGGATGGCTCTGGAGGAACTGAGTGTACAAACCCCTCTGACATCCTAAGTAACTAAGAAAGGACTGCTGGAAACCATCCGTGGCACATCTGCCACTCTTTCACCCCAGCTCCTTGCACTCATTAGCGGGACATTCTAACTAGGGCAAGACTTGTATAATCCAACTGTGTCTTTGTAGGGTGTGCTCTTAACTTCTCACCAGTGATGAGTCATTACTAATCGCCAATCATCACATGAAGCCAAGATGCCCCTTAAGGGAGTAGCTAAGTATTTTAGCAAATGCTGTCAACTTAGCATGTTTGACAAAAGTAATGTAAGTGGAAGGACACACTTATCACTGCCTTCTTCCCTTGACCCACAGGAGGGTCCAAAGTGGAAACCTCTCTTCAATATAAAGGCTGCAACCAGTGCCCCCCCCACCCCTAGCTTGTAAATAACACAGCACACCTACCTAGTGTTCTGAGGCAAGGATGAACACACACACTTGTACGCACACTCAGCTTCTCATCTAACCACTTCCCGCTTCTGTCCCTCCACTCAACCAGTCCCCTAATGTCTTCAGGGACTCTTAACATAAAATGCTCAAAGCAGGAAGTTAAACATGCCAGACACATCATCAGCACCATGTGGAGCCAAGCATTTGCTAAAGCCGCAGCTTATAATCAAGGTGTTTTTAAAAAGTATTATTACTGGCCAGGCATGGTGGCTCAAGCTTGTAATCCCAGCACTTTAGGAGGCCAAGGTGGGTGGATCACCAGGTCAGGAGTTCAAGACCAGCCTGGCCAATATGGTGAAACCTCGTCTCTCTTAAAAAATACAAAAATTAGCCAGGAGTGGTGGCGTGTGCCTGTCGTCCCAGTTACTCAGGAGGCTGAGGCAGGAGAATCGCTGGAACCCAGGAGGCAGAGGTTGCAGTGAGCCGAGATTGCGCCACTGCACTCCAGCCTGGGCGATACAGCAAGACTCCTTCTCAAAAAATATATATTATTATTACTGATGGCAGATTACTCTGCATAATTATCCGGTTTTGCTTAGGTCTTTTCTCTGATGGATCAATACTGAAACTCTGACTTTCCTAAACACACGTATTCATTCATGTTCATGGAGTTCTGTTCTGATTTTTCTAGGAATATAGGTTAACTCATCATGCCCATTAACTTATGAAAGACCAGCGCTACTATACTTCCACTGCGTAATGCAAGACATCCTTATCTTTTCTCAGTTCTGCACACACACACACACACACACACACACACACAGGCGATGCTGCCCATGCATTCTTCCAAGCAGGGCTGGATCTTCACTCATGTGGGCCTGTGGACGTGAGTGGTCTTCACTCATGTCTTCTCAGTGATAGTATGGTGCCCACCATGCCCCACAGCCCACAGTGCTTCCGTGCCTTCTCACAACATCACAACAGTATCAGAGATGAGGGATGAGCTCCAGGCAACATGATAAAAACATCATTGTCCTGAATATAGCACCATTTGCTTAATCAAAAGGAAAAGGGTAGGTGAGCTTGGATGAAAAAGAGATAAGAAACAGGGGCAAGAAAAGCAACATGCAAGAGTAATAGCCCAGAACCCCCAAACAAATGTGCCAGGCCACACATCTGTCCTGGAGCTTGGGAGACAGTGGGTACCCCTGTGTGTATCACACTCCCACACACACCTGCTAAGGATGAAGGTTTAGAGACAGCCATATGGTCGGGAAGTGTTACTACTCATATTAACTGTTTAGGGAATCAGGGGGAAGCAGAGAGAGAGTTCAAGAAGTTGACCAAAGACCACCAGCCAGGTGCAGCAGAAACCTGCTGTGTCCGTGCTAAGACTGCTATAGGGTCCTCTAGGATCTCTCCCTGAATTTGCAGGTCATTCAGCACAGGAAGGACACTGAAGTAGCAACAGCAAGGCATGAGTCAGATAGTAGAGGGCTTTGGGCTTCTCCTTATGCCTCCACTCAAGAGTAAAGAGCTCTTCAAAGTCTTGGGTGACTAAACATTTTAGAGTGGCCACTTGAGGCTGAATACACAGGACAATAGAATGTCTCTTAAGAATCCAAAAGGACTTCCACAACACAGCAGTGAGCCTGCCTGCAAAGCTCTCCCTGCCCTTTCATCACATCCTGAAGGCTTGTGCTTGGCAGGAAGCAATGGCTGTAGGAGGCCCTGCCAATTGTTTCAGCCATCACCGCTTTATCATAAGCACAGCTGCATGTTTTGGCATCCACTGAACAACTCTTCTCTCTTGAGTCTAAAAAATAGTCCTAGGAAACATGGAGAGCCAGTGCAACATTTAATTTTTTAAACTATGAAATAGTTTGGTTCACATGAAAAAGAATACTAATGTATCTCTGCTGTGACTATGAAAGTATATTTATACGGCTGTAGAAAGCAAAGAAGAAAGAGAAAACTTTAAATGTAAAATTCTTGAGGATTGTAGAATAATGGATGGTTTTGTCCCCCATAAATATTTCTTAAGATGTCACCTTCAAAAATAACAAATGCAACACATGTTCACCACAATCTCTGAAACTATGCAAAGATAATAAAGAAAAAGCTAATATGCTTTTCCACACATCCTCTCCCCATTTATTCCCAAAATCTCACTACAACCAACTTGACACCCCAGGATTTGCCTTATACACCTGTCCCCATACTCAAAGGAAAATATAGACACATAGGAGCTTTCAGTTGTTATAATTTTAGGAAAATTGAAGATAGATGGATAGATAGAGACATAGATACCCACATTTATGTGCTCACTCTCTCTATATATATATAATTTTTCTCATTTAAAACATTGCCACACTCCTCCATGTCAAGAGACAACTAAAACTCTTTCTTCTGAGTAGTTTCACAACATTCCATGGTACAAATGTTCTTCTTGTTATCAGGTTTTCACTGTTAAAAACAATGCAGATAGCACTGTGAATGGCAGTAATGACCTCCAAAAATTCTCCCCTTCATATAAGCAATAAATACATTGGGAAAACTGTCACAATCAACTTTTCCTGACCTCTGGAAATTAACCAAGCCTTGCATTAATCCAAGGATCCTTTACTCGTGTAAACAGCTGAATCTAGGCAAGAACAGAGAGTTCTGTGACATTTTTAATTGCTTATTCCCATCTCCTCCTCCCTTGCTCTTTGGTAGCCTTAAAAACCAATAGCCAGCAATCACAGTAAAAACCAGAACCACTGAAGAAGGAAGAAAGGGATTAAACTTCCTTGAAAGCCCTGTTCCCAGAGAATTGTCATTATGCAACTTGTCAGGTTGGTCTTTGAAATATCCCACTCCCAAAGCTTGTCCTTATTTGACCTGATTCAAATAAGATACAAACAGTGCAAATGACCTTTTCTGGGATGAAGGGGGAGGCACTTGTAGAAAACAGATCAGTAGCAATTGTTTCACATAGTGACTGCCTGAAGCAGTGACAACAGGTGGAACGAAAAACAGGCTAACTAAAAAAATAAAAAGTAAAAGCTGAGTAATGAAATGTCCACAGAAGGCTGACATATTCTTGGGACTCTAGGAGGCTACATGCATGTGTAAGGCTATGTGCATATCCAGGGCTGTGAGCATTCTCAGAAAAGACCTGAGAAGTTCCCAAATTCTTGTCTCTGGCTGACCTTGAGGCTCTGTGCAAGCAGCAAGTGATGGCTAAGGTGGACACGAAAACCACACAACTGACTAATAAAGGCATGCCCCAAAACACACAGAGCCCCTTGGCAGAAACTAGAAAACTTATTGGTTCCAGATAGTTAAGGGATTTGCTACCCAATCATTAGCTGATCTCCAAACTAACTGAGCAGAGATTTCAGCAGCCACACATGACAAAGAATCTGGACTTGACACAATTAATTCTGAAAAGCCACTAAACAAACAAACAAACAACAACAAACCCTGGGTGAAGAGGGAGAGAAAAGTTGATTTATAGAGCTGCCACATTACATAATTTAAAATGTCCAGTTCTTAAGAAAAAACTATAATACATGTAAAGAAACAATAAGTTATGGCCTAAACACAAGGAAAAAAGCAATCAAAAGAAACTATACTTGAGGAAGCCTAGACTTTATATTTACCAGAGAAACACTTAAATCAGCAATTTTAAATATCTCCAGAAAACTAAAGGCAACCATATCTTAAAAAGTAAAGTCTGAAAATGATTTCTTACCAAATACAGAATATCAATAAAAAGATAGAAATTTTTTTTAAAAAAACAGCAAATAGCAGTTCTAGAATACAAAAATTATAAAAACTGAAATGAAGATTCACTGGAGGAACTCAACAGCAGATTTGAGCAGGCCAAATTAAAAATCAAGATTCTAAAATATACATTAATAGAGGTGATCCAGTATGAGGAACAGAAAAGAAAAAGAATGACAAAAAAATGAACAGATTCTCAGAAACTTCTAGGACATAATGAGGCATATAAACTACATGCATAATGGGAGTCCAAAATGTAGAGTAGAGAAAAATATAAAAAGCATATTTGATGAAATAATGACCAAATAGCTAAAAATTTGATGCAAAACATTAATCTACACATCCAAGAAAACTCAGCGAACTCCAAGGAGGATCAACACAAAGAAACTGAGACCAAGATACATTGCAAACAAACTGTCAAAAGACAAAGACCAAGACAGCATCTTAAAAACAGCAAGAAAGAAGCAACTCATCATATACATGAACTCATAAATAACATTAACAGCTGATTTCTCATCAAAAATAATGGAGGCCATAAGGTAATGGAATGACACATTTGAAATGCTGAATGGAAAAGACTGTCAACCAAGAATTCTACATCCAGCAAAACTATTATTCAAACACGAAGCAGGCATTAAGATAAACAAAAACTGCAAGAATCTATAGCTAGCAGACCTGCCCTACAATAAAAATTACAAGAAGCCCTTTGGGCTAAAATAAAAGGACACTAGATAGTAACTCAAATCCACAAGAAAAAATAAAAGTACTAGTAAAGCTCAATACATAGGAAATTATAAAAGAGAGTATAATTGCATATTTTGTTTGCAACTCTCTTTTTTTGCCTACTTAATTTTAAATGCACTCCATAAAGCAATAGCCATAAATCTGTGCTGATGGGCATACAACATACAAAGATGTCATTTGTATAACAATAACAGGACAAAGGAGAGGAGAGTAAATGGAGCAATATAGCAGCAAACTTTTTATATATTACTGTATTAGTCCATTTTCACACTGCTGATAAAGACATGCCCAAGACTGGGGGAAAAAAGAGGTTTAATTAGACTTACAGTTCCACATGGCTGGGGAGGCCTCAGAATCATGATGGGAGGCAAAAGGCACTGTTTACATGGCAGCAGCAAGAGAAAATGAGGAAGAAGCAAAAGCAGAAACCCTTGATAAACCATCAGGTCTCGTGAGAATTATTGACTATCACAAGAATAGCACAGGAATCATGGACCCCATGATTTAATTACCTCCCCCTGGGACCCTCCCACAACATGTGGGAATTCTTGGAGATACCATTTAAGTTGAGATTTGGATGGGAACACAGCCAAACCATATCATTCCACCTCTGGCCCTTCCAAATTTCAGGTTCTCATATTTCAAAACCAATCATGCCTTCCCAATAGTCCCCCAAAGTCTTAACTCATTTCAGCATTAACCCAAAAGTCCACAGTCCAAAGTCTCATCTGAGACCAGGCAAGTAAGTCCCCTCTGCCTATGGGCCTGTAAAGTCAAAAGCAAGCTAGTTACTTCCTAGATGCAATGTGGGTATGGGTATTGGGTAAATACAGCCATTCCAAGTGGGAGAAATTTGCCAAAACAAAGGGGTTACAGGGCCCATGCAAGTCTGAAATCCAGCAGAGCAGTCAAATTTTAAAGCTCCAAAGTGATCTCCTTTGACTTCAGATCTCACATCCAGGTCACACTGATGTAAGAGGTGGGTTCCCATGATCTTGGGCAGCTCTGCCCCTGTGGCTTTGCAGGGTACAGCCTCCCTCCAGCTGCTTTCATGGGCTGGCGTTGAGTGTCTGTGGCTTTTCCTGGTGCATGGTGCAAGCTGTTGGTGGATCTACCATTCTTGGGTCTAGAGGACAGTGACCCTCTTCTCACAGCTCCACTAGGCAGCCCCTCACTCAAATTAATCATCTAAACTTCCATCTTAAAGAACTATAAAAAAGGAAAACAAACTAAAAACAAAGCAGAAGGGAGGAAATAACAAAGACTACAGTGGAAATTAATAAAATAAGAAGTAGAAAAACAATAGCTGAAATTCACAAAATAAAAAAGTTGTTTCTTCAAAAGATCAACAAAATTAACAAACCTTTAGCTAGACTGACCAATATAAAAGAGAGAAGATTCAAATTATTAAAATTAGGAATGCAAGAGGGGACATTACTGCTGGACCCCTTCCTTACACCATATTAAAAAAAATTAACTCCATAGACATCCAAATACAAGAAGCTCAAAGAACATCTGGGAAATTCATTGCAAAAAGATCATCACCTAGGCACATAGTCATCAGGTTATCTAAAGTTACGATGAAGGAAAAAATCTTAAGAGCTGCAAGACAAAAGCATCAAATAACCTATAAAGGGAAATCTATCAGAATAACAGCAGATTTTTCAGCAGATTGGGGTCCCATCTTTAGCCTCCTGAAACAAAATAATTGTCACCCAAGAATTTTGTATCCAGCAAAACTAAGCTTCATAAATGAAGGAGACATAAAGTCTTTTTCAGAAAAACAAATGCTGAGAGAATTCACCACTATTAAGCCAGCACTATGAGAAGTGCTAAAAGAAGTTCTCAATCTTGAATCAAAACCTTGAAATACACCAAAACAGAACCTCCTTAAACCATAAATTTCACGGGGCCTATAAAATAATCACACAATGGGAAAAAGGCAATAACTAGCATAATTAATAGAACAGTACCTCTCATCTCAATACTAACGTTGAATGTAAATGGCCTAAATGCACCACTTAAAAGATACAAAATGGTAGAATGGATAAAAATCCATACACCAAGTATCTGCTGTCTTCAAGAGACTCTCCTAACACATAAGGACTCACATAAACTTAAGGTAAAGGGGTGAAAAAGATATTCCATGCAAATGGAAACCAAAAGCAAGCAGAAGTAGCTATTCTTGTATCAGACAAAATAGACAGTAAAGCAACAACAGTTAAAAAAGACAAAGAGGGATATTACATAATGATAAAAGGATTAGTCCAACAGGAAAATATCACAATTCTAAATATATATGCATCTAACAGTGGAGCTCCCAAGTTCATAAAACAATTACTACTAGAACTAAGAAATGAAATAAATGGCAACACAATAATAGTGGGGGACTTCAATACTCCACTGACAGCACTAGACAGGTCATCAAGAGAGAAAGTCAACAAAGAAAAAATGGACTTAAACTATACCCTAGAACAAATGGACTTAACAGATATTTACAGAACATTCTACCCAACAATTGCAGAATACACATTCCTTTCATCAGCACACAGAACATTCTCCAAGACAGACCATATAGTCAGTCACAAAACAAGTCTCAACAAATTTAAGAAAATCAAAATTATATCAAGTATCCTCTCAGGCCACAATGGAATAAAACTGGAAGTTAACTCCAAAAGGAATCCTCAAAACTATATGAATACATGAAAGTTAAATAAACTGCTCTTGAATGATCTTTGGGTCAACAATGAAATCAAAATTAAAAGTTGAAAATTATTTGAGCTGAATGATAATAGTTAAATAACTTATCGAAACCTCTGGGATACAGCAAAAGTCGTGCTAAAAGGAAAGTTCACAGCATTAAATGCCTACATCAAAAAGTCTGAAAGACAAATAGACAATCTAAGCTCACACCTCAAGGAGCTAGAGAAACAAGAACAAACCAAACCAAAACCCAGCAGATGAAAAGAAAGAACAAAGATCAGAGCAGAACTAAATGAAATTGAAACCAACAAAAATACAAAAGACAAATGAAACAAAAAGCTAGTTATTTGAAAAAACTAAATTGATAGACCATTAGTGAGATTAACCAAGCAAAGAAAAGAGAAGACCCAAATAAGCTCAATTAGAAATGAAATGGGAGATATTACAACCAATACCACAGAAATACAAAAGATCATTCCAGGCTACTATGAACACCCTTATGTGCACAAACTAGAAAATCTAGAGGAGATGGATAAATTTCTGGAAACATGCAACCTTTCTAGATAAAACTGGGAAGAAATAGAAACTCTGAACAGACCAATAACAAGCAGCAAGAGTGAAACAGTAATAAAAAAAATTATCAACAAAAAAAAGTCCAGGACCAGATGGATTCACAGCTGAATTCTATCAGGCATTCAAAGAAAAATTGGTACCCATCTTACAGAAACTATCCCAAAAGATAGAGAAAGATGGAATACTACCTAAGTCCTTCTATGAAGCTGGTATCCCTAATACCAAAACTATGAAATGACATAACAAAAAAAAAGAAAACTACAGACCAATATCCCTGATGAATATAGATGCAAAAATCCTCAACAAAATACTAGCTAACCAAATCCAACAGCATATCAAAAAGATAATACACCATGATCAAGTGGGTTTCATACCAGAATGCAAAAATCCTCAATAAAATACTAGCTAACCAAATCCAACAGCATATCAAAAAGATAATACACCATGATCAAGTGGGTTTCATACCAGGATGCAAAAATCCTCAACAAAATACTAGTTAACCAAATCCAACAGCATATCAAAAAGATAATACACCATGATCAAGTGGGTTTCATACCAGGGATGCAGGTATGGTTTAACATACACAGGTAAATAAATGTGGTACATCACATAAGCAGAATTAAAAACAAAAATCATATGATCATCTCAATAGATGCAGAAAAAGCATTTGACAAAATCCGCATTAGAAGGAAGGAAGGAGGGAGGGAGGGAGGGAGGGAAGGAAGGAAGGAAGGAAGGAAAAAGGAAAGGAAAGGAAGAGAGGGAAGGGAGGGGAGGGGAGGCGAGGGTAGGAAAGGGGAGGGGGAAGGGAAGGGAAGGGAAGGGAGATAGCCCACAAAATGGAAGAAAATATCCAGAAATGATATACCTGATAAAGAACTTCTACACAGAATATATAATGAAGTCTTACAACTCAATAATTTTAAAAAACCATTTTTAAAATAGGCAAGGTATTTGGATAGACATTTATCCAAATATATACAATAGTAAATAAGTACATAAAAGGATGTTCCATATTACTAGTCATTAGAGAGATGCAAATCAAAACCACACTTTATACCCACTAGGAAGGCTAGAATAAAAAAGACAGACAATAACAAGTGTTGATAAGCTATGGAGAAATGGAACACTCATACGTTGCTGGGGGGACAGCCACTTTGGAAAACAGTTTTCACAGTTCCTCAAAATGTTACACATGGAGTTACCAGGTGACTGAACAATTCCACTTCTAAGTATATACCCAAGGGAGTTGGAAACGTGTCCACACAAATGCTTGCACACAAGTATTCATAGCAGCGTTATTTATTATAGCTAAAAGGTAGAAACAACTCAAATATCTATCAACTGATAAACAAACAAAATGTGATACTTCTATAAAATGGAATAGTATTTGGCCATTAAAAAGAAGGAAGTAGGGCCAGGCATGGTGGCTCATGCCTGTAATCCCAGCACTTTGGGAGGCCGAGGTGGGCGGATCACCTGAGGTCAGGAGTTCGAGACCAGCCTGGCCAACATGGTGAAAACCCATCTCTACTAAAAATACAAAAATTAGCCAGGCATGGTGGTGCACGCCTGTAATCCCAGCTACTCAGGAGGCTGAGGTATGGGAATTGCTTGAACCAGGGAGGCAGAGGTAGCAGTGAGCCGAGAGCGCACCACTGCATTCCAGCCTGGGTGACAGAGCGAGACTCCATCCCCCCCCACCAAAAAAAAAAAAAGAATGAAGTTTAAGGCCAGGCATGGTGGCTCAGGCCTGTAATCCCAACACTTTGGGAGGCCGAGGCAGGCAGATCATCTGAGGTCAGCTGGCCAATATGGTGAAACCTTGTCTCTACTAAAAATATAAAAACTAGCCAGGCGTGGTGACGTGTGCCTGTAATCCCACCTACGTGGGAGGCTAAGGCAGGAGAATCCCTTGAACCCAGGAGGCAGAGGTTGCACTGAGCCAAGGTCATGCCACAGCACTCCAGCCTGGGTGACAGAGCGAGACTCTATCTCAAAAAAAAAAAAAAAGAATTAAGTACCAACACACACTGCAACATGAATGAACCCTGAAAATATTATACCACATGAAGGAAGCCAGACATAAAGTGCCAAATATTGTTTAATTCCATTTAAATGAAATGTCTGGTATAGGCAAATCCATAGAGACAGAAAGTCAGTTAGTGGCTTCCAGAGGCCGGAGGCAGGGGGAAATGAGAAATTATTGCTAATGGGTACAGAGTTTCTTTCTGGGGTTATGAAAATGTTCTGGGCCGGGCGCGGTGGCTCATGCCTGTAATCCTAGCACTTTGGGAGGCCAAGGTGGGCGGATCACCTGAGGTCGGGAGTTTGAGACCAGCCTGACCAACATGGAGAAATCCCATCTCTACTAAAAATACAGAAATTAGCTGGGCATGGTGGCACATGCCTGTAATCTCAGCTACTTGGGAGGCTGAGACAGGAGAATCGCTTGAACCCGGGAGGTGGAGGTTGCCGTCAGCCAAGATCGAGCCATTGCACTCCATCCTGGGAAACAATAGCAAAAATCTGTCTCAAAAAACAAAAATAAAATAAAATAAAAAAGAAAATGTTCTGGAATTATATAGTAATGGTGGTTGCACACCTTTGTGAATACAGTTGGCCTGTGAACAATACGGGTTTGAACTGAGCAGGTTCACTTACTTCCAGCTCTGTCACCCCAGGACAGCAAGACCAATCCCTCCTCTTCCTCCTTTTCAACCTACACAACATGAAGATGATGAGAGTGACAACCTTTATAATGATACACTTTCAGGTAATGAATAGGAAACATTTATTCTCTTCCTTATGCTTTTCTTAATAACGTTTTCTTTTCTGTAGCTTACTTTATTGTAAGACTATAATATATAAATGTATATTCTAAATACATCTATATAACATATAAATGTATATTCTAAATACATCTATATAACATATAAATGTATATTCTAAATACATCTATATAACATATAAATGTATATTCTAAATACATCTATATAACATATAAATGTATATTCTAAATACATCTATATAACATATAAATGTATATTCTAAATACATCTATATAACATATAAATGTATATTCTAAATACATCTATATAACATATAAATGTATATTCTAAATACATCTATATAACATATAAATGTATATTCTAAATACATCTATATAACATATAAATGTATATTCTAAATACATCTATATAACATATAAATGTATATTCTAAATACATCTATATAACATATAAATGTATATTCTAAATACATCTATATAACATATAAATGTATATTCTAAATACATCTATATAACATATAAATGTATATTCTAAATACATCTATATAACATATAAATGTATATTCTAAATACATCTATATAACATATAAATGTATATTCTAAATACATCTATATAACATATAAATGTATATTCTAAATACATCTATATAACATATAAATGTATATTCTAAATACATCTATATAACATATAAATGTATATTCTAAATACATTTATATAACATATAAATGTATATTCTAAATACATTTATATAACATATAAATGTATATTCTAAATACATTTATATAACATATAAATGTATATTCTAAATACATTTATATAACATATAAATGTATATTCTAAATACATTTATATAACATATAAATGTATATTCTAAATACATTTATATAATATATAAATGTATATTCTAAATACATTTATATAATATATAAATGTATATTCTAAATGGGTGAATTCTATGGAATGTGAACTGTATCTCAATAAAAGGAAAAATGCAGAAATAAACACTTTTGTACATGTATTGTTATAAATTGGAGATTTTCTTTCTCAAGGATATATTCCCAAATGTGAGATGGCTGTGTCAAAGTTCTAAGGCGTTTTTTTCCCTGAATTTTAGATATTGCAAGGTTATTTTCCAAAAGTGATATTCCAATTCACACTCACAACAAAAGTCTATTGAAAATTTTATTTCTCTGAATTCTGTCTGTCCCACAGTGTTTAATTTTTGCCAAGCATATGGGTGAAAACAATATCATTATTACTTAAACTGCATTTCCCTCTTTCATTGCACTTCTTTTCGTATTTATGTATAATCTGGATTTCTCCAACTATGAATTCCCAAATCGTATTCTTTGCCTATTTTTCTATTAGGTTTTTGTCTTTTTCTTAATGATGTGTGAGAGCTCTTCATACACTGGATGTATTAACCCTTTATCTAGCTAATGCATTACAGATTTTGTGCCCTTTTTGTTTACAGTATCTGTATCTTGAAATGTCCATTTAGATCAACACAATATGGGTTGAGTAATTTGAAAAAACAAGAAATAAGACCACTTCATACCTATTCTTTTCTTAAACCTCCATACCCAGCTCTTCACTCTCACTGTAAAATAGAAGCCTTCCAAAAAGGAAGTCCTCCTGTCACCACTACCAGTACGTGGACCTGCCTGAATGTGTGCCCACGTGTGCTGCACCTGAAATTCTTAAAGTGGTCAGCTGTTCTCTCTTGAGATCCAAGGGCCACTCTCCCTTTTTCATAGCTCCTTAAAATTTAAATTCAAACTTCTGGCTTTGTATCATCAGTTACCATGATGGGAACTTAGTAGATATCACATACACTCATTGAATTGAATTGACCGGTTTGGGTCAAGACAAGTTAGAGATTGCTCAAAGATAAATCAATTTCCTGAAATTATCATGGCTAGACTTGGTCTGGTCTAGTCAAAATTCTAGAGCAGTGTTTCTCCCAATTTTTTTTTAAATCTCAAGACCTCTCTGCACCCTTAAAAACTGAGGATGCCACCAGGTGCGGTGGCTCACATCTGTAATCCAAGGCTGAGGCGGGTGGATCACTTGAGGTCAGGAGTTCGAGACCAGCCTGGCCAACATGGTGAAACCCTGTCTCTACTAAAAATACAAAAATTAGCCAGGCACGGTAGTGTGTGCTTGTAATCCCAGCTACTTGGGAGGCTGAGGCAGGAGAATCGCTTGAACCCAAAGGCAGAGTTTGCAGATCACACCACTAGACTCCAGCCTGGGTGTCAGAGTGAGACTCCATCTCAAAAAAAAAAGAAAAACTGAGGACCTCAGAGACCTTTTATGTAGGTGGTTTATACCTACCCATTTTTACTGTATTTGAAATTAAAACTGTTTTTAAGCATTTATTAATAAGCCTATGTTAAAATAACAAAAATAAATTCATTACATATTAACATAAATACAATATTTTATGGAAAATACATTTTCTAAAGACAAATTTGTGAGAAAGGTGGCATTGTTTGATATTTTTGCAAATCTTTTTACTGTCTGGCTTGATGGAAGATACATTGTCATAACTGTATTGCATTTAACCTGCCGCAATGTGTTGTTTTGCTTCAGGTATATTAAAAAAAAACCCAACTTCACACAGATATGTATTTGGAAAGGTGGTGGAGTGGGGTGTTTCTATTGCCTTTTCAGATACTTGTGGATATTCTTTGATACTACATCAAAACTTGACAAGTGGAAATTTCTTAAAGATTAGTTACCATGTGGAATCTGAAACCATATCATGAAGTTTTTAACTCTGTTACATAAAAATTTACTTGTCAATCTTGCATGATTTTGTAACATGCATGTCTTGGAAAAATTGGTTCACTGAAGCACACAGATTTTCTAAATTTAACACATTTTATTTAACACAAAATTTTTTTCAGTAATATTTGTTAATATCAGCACTGATTTTGGCTGAAAATTCTTTAAGATTTTAGGAATCTGTCAAGCTCACAGTGGGAGATACAAGTTCTCTTTTTCTTTTTTTCTTTTAGAGGCCGTCTCCTTCTGTTGCCCAGGAACCATCATAGCTCACTGCAACCTTGAATTCCAGGGCTCAAGGCATCCTCCCGCCTCAGCCTCCGGAGTAGCTAAGCCTAAAGGTAAGAACGGCCACTCCTGACTCATTTCTTTCTTCTTTTTTGTAGAAATGAAGTCTCCTTATGTTGCCCAATCTGGTCTTGAATTCCTGGCCCCAAGTAATCCTCCACCTCAGCCTCCCAAAAGTACTGGGGTTACAGGCATGAGTCGCCACTCCTGGTCCAGGTTTTCCAAAATTCTAACTTTTACTAGGAAGCCCATATTTTACCTTGGCAACAAATACTGTCAGCTATTGTTTCCCTTGAAGCAACAAGCTCACTTCATTTATTTTAAAGAAAAAGCCACCAAACACCTCAGTCAGAACAACCACAGTTTTTCAGTCCTCCTTTCAAGTCAAAATGGTGTTCCATGAAACAAGCAATAAATTCAGCTGGCAATTTAAATAACCATATGCATGCTTTGTTCAAAGCGACCACTGTAATTGAATATGCAGCAGAAGGGATTGATATATACTTCCCACCTTATCACCCAGAGTACTCAAAAGACACATAACCAAGGGCCAACATTTTACAAAATTAATGGTTTCTACCTCTTCACCAAGACATTCTTCAGGAAAGCCGACTTTTTTTGACTGGGAGTGTGTGACAGCAAAGAAGCAAAGAACACAGTGGTGACAGGTACAGTACAGTTAGGTATCACTGCCTCAATGTGCGGTGAGACAACAGCTGTTTGACCCACCAGCGCACATGCACAGCGGTGTAAATGTCAACACAGAATAAAAGACATCTGAAAAGTTATTCATCACTTGGACTATTTCAGCACCATGTGTCATTCCCATCAAAGAGCCTCCTTTGATGAATCATTTATCTGATACGAGATGAATACAAGAAAACGCACATGTATGTTCACTGCAGCACTATTCACAATAGCAAAGACTTGGGACCAACCTAAATGTCCATCAATGATAGACTGGATTAAGAAAATGTGGCACATATACATTATGGAATACTATGCAGCCATAAAAAAGGATGAGTTCATGTCCATTGCAGGGACATGGATGAAGCTGGAAACCATTATTCTGAGCAAACTACCCCAAGGACAGAAAACCAAACACCACATGTCCTCACTCATAGGTGGGAATTGAATAACGAGAACACTTGGACACAGGGTGGGGAACATCACACACTGGGGCCTGTCGTGGGTGGGGGGAGGGGGGAGGGATAGCATTAGGAGATATACCTAATGTCAATGACGAGTTAATGGGTGCAGCACACCAACATGGCACATGTATACATATGTAACAAACCTGCATGTTGTGCACATGTACCCTAGAACTTAAAAGTATAATAAAAAAAAAAAAACAGAAGGAAATTTGGCTGGACGCAGCGGCTCACACCTGTAATCTCAACATTTTGGGATGCCGAAGTCGGTGGATCACCTGAGGTCAGGAGTTCAAGACCAGCTTGACCAATATGGTGAAACCCCATCTAAAAAAAAAAAGATAAGCAGTAAGTCCAGCCTCCATTTATAAGCCAAAAGTACAATTGTGCAGACAAGATAGGAATACAGTCTTCATGTTTGCAGCTGAGGCTTTCATTCAACAGGCCATAGTATTGATGGACAGTGGCAGTGCCATGACTTCTTTGCTGATTTTGCGGCCAGTAGACATTCAGCAAAGCCAGCTCTACAGGGCTTCACTCTTCGCTCGGCTGTTGTGTTCTTACCCAGCCTATGAACATGATAACTTACTCCGTAAGATGCTTCCGCGGTTCTTTCATGTCTAGTTTGGAAAGCTGTAACAATTTTGGGGTTTTTAAGGAGCTCATCAAGTCTATGTTTAAAATACTCAACTCCCTTTTTCCTTAAACTCTGAATGTTTTGTCCAAAAATAATGTCACAATTTAACTAGCACCATAATACAATTTGGAATTTTTTCTGTTGCGTAAGACACCATAAGGTAAATTCCTAACGTCTATAGAGCTGATGACCATCACATTTTCGTTGCCATTTACAATTTCACACAGTTTCTTGGGATTAGACTTCTCCTTTCATGACTGAGAGAATGCTCTGATACAGCAATTCTGTCCTTTTCGGCGCCTTTACACATGAGATGCTGCACGCTGAGAAAGCAAATCTTCTAATGTCCCTTTGGAAAGTCCATGACCCATCCTTAAATATAACAAAACGTGTTACAAATAAATTTCATTTTATTTTAGAATAAGATATTAGATTCTAGAATTGTAACAGTTTTAGACAGAATTATAAAATTTATAAAAGGGTTCAGAAAAAATAGGAGAATGCTATTGAAACAAGACAAAAACCGTACTTACTTTTTGTCATATTTCTGCACAGTTGCAGAGAAACTGTTGGGACTTCAATATAACAATTTATAAACATGATAGTAGACACAGGGAAGACAGACAGCAAGAACGCAGTGGAGGAACTAAGAACAAGCTGAGTTCATCTCTGAAAATGTGCCCCGAACACATCAACCCTACTAACTGAGAAGGTTCTGGAGGACATAAGAACACACAAGCCCATGTTTCACCAGCCATTGTGCAATATCTTCACACGCCATGTATCGTAGCCTCTGGAAAACCCTAGGGCACTCTCTTGTGAGAGTGATGGTGAAAAGAGGAAATACTGTCTTAGTATTATTATGAAATAGTTTCAACCTCACAGACCCCTGAGAGGGTCATGGAGACCCCAGGGATCCACACACCACATCATGAGAACACTACTCTAGATGACTTCCTTTGATCTTGAAGGCAGAATCCAGGAAGAAAAAAAAAAAAAAAAATCAAGGCCCAGGGAGCCTGGGCTTTCCCACAGCCTTGGGGCTTCCAACCAGGGTTGGGAGGTGCGTTTTTACCAGGAAGAGCCTCCTCCACACTCACAGGCCTTCTGCAGCTGCAGGCTTCCAAACCAGAAAGGACATTCGAGGCAGCCACATGGCACGCTTGCTTCTCCGCAGCTTTCTCTCCGTTCCTGGGGACATGTTCCACCTCACTGACAACCCTTCACATGTGCACGCCATTCTGGAGATGGGTCATAAACATTTGAACTATATTGGCTCAATAATGGGGACATTTTGGCTCCAGACTGTGCTGAACTTTGCCCATTCCAGAAATATCCCGTAAGACATTCCCAAGGCACTGAATGATGCAAACCACATTTATCCACTTACGATGGACAAAAATGTGACTGCAAAGCAGAACCTCAGCTTCTTCCCAGATAAAAGAGATGATGTGGACGGTGTTCATAATACAAAACTTCCATTTCCCCTTACTTGAAAACAACTTCCCATGGCTCACGACAGACTCCTGAAGTTTTAAGAATGATTTAGTGTAGAATCAATATCAAGCACCTCCTGTACCCTCTGCCCTCACGCGTGGGAGCAGGATACGGTCCAGCAGATGGCGTCATCCCCATGCTTCAGGAGTTTTGCAAATACTAATATTAACAGGCATAGCAGAAAAGCAGTAGTAACATGTCTGCGTCACTTATTATAGGCACAGTCATCAAGCATTAGCATTTACTCTACACATACTTTTTTAAAATTCTGCAATTTATTGGCATAGGACAGTGAGCAGTCATTCCACCCAGTCTCCTTAAGCAGTATTCCTCTTTCTATCTTATTAGCCAGCTTTCTATCTGGATTCGTGTGCTCCGGCTTCCGTAACAAATATCAGACACTGGGGGCTTAGACAACAAGCATTTATCCTCTCACAGTCCTGGAGGCTGGAAGTCTGATACCAAGAGGTGGGCAGGGTTGGTTTCTCCTGGTGCTCCTCTCCTTGGCTTGCAGATGGCGTCTTCTCTCTGTGTCTTCAAATGACCTTCCCTCTTAGTGTGTCTGTGTCCTCATTTCTTCTCCTTTTAAGGACAGCGTCTAAATTGGATTAGGGCTCACCCAAAGGCCTCATTTTAACTTAATTGCCTCTTTTAAGACTCTATCTCTAAATACCGTCACATCCTGAGGTCCTGAAGGTTAGGGCTTCAACATATGAGCTCTGGGGAGGCCAAATCCAACCCCTAACATTATCTTTCCTGTATCCTTCAGTGTTCTCTTACATTTTCTCAGGGAAGACTGGGCAGCAAACATTATCAGCCTTGTTCACCCATGAATCAACAGGCCTTGGCAAATATTTCTGGCATGTAGCAATGGTTCCATAAATATTTGTTGAAAAGATGAAAGTTTTATGAATGTTCACTTGTAGATCCATCAGCATCACAAACATAAAAATATTACAACCTAAGAATCCTATTCAAGTGACTCCATTCTATATTTTATAGCAAGAAACAGTCATTTATTCTCATACAAAGTATCCCAAATAATTGGATCCAAAGACTGTTACACGATGCAGTTATTAAGTTTTAAATTATTTTCTGAGTGGTAACTCAAAATAATTCTACGAATTTACTTAATGTCTTTACCTCTGTTAAGGTAAGAGAACTAAATAAACTTTTGAAGTATGATTTTCAGAATGAATAATACTTTCCCATGTTGCTGAGTCAAGTTTATCTTAAACTGTGCTGTCCATGGCCTCAAGCCTTCCATACTGATAAGTGATTCTGCATGTGAACACACACTTCCACAAACCACGGCATGTGCAGATTAAAGGAAAAGAGTTTTTGGTCAAAATTTCCCCACATATGCTCTCGAGCAATATCATTTATTATGTAAATAAGCTCCTTTAAAGCGTAAATGTTTAAAGCAGGAAACTAAGCAAATCTGGGTTGTTGGTTTTTTTTCTCTCCCTCTCTAAATAGAAAAAGGGATGCTTCTCAAGGCATACAGCAAAGTCAGGACATTTATATCTTCCATTCCATGAACTCATAAACATCTGCATTTGCATCTGGAGTTATACGGCCTGCGTATCTAAACCAAAATTCATCCGCACGCTGTATCTGGAAAATTATTCATCAGAAAGAAAAGTATTGCAAAATGTAGCTGGCTTCTTGAATGTCATGGAAAAAATTCCTTTAAAAAATAAATAAATAAAAGTTGTTCTGAACTCTGCAGAATTGGCAGGAAACTGAAGAAGTCCAGGATTTTTCTCTGCTGGTTTTAGTCTTCTTAAATACCGGGAGCCTTAAAATACCTTCACTGGGGGCAACAGAGAAAAACAGAAATAGCAGCATTGTGTCGGCCACAGTAGGCCATCCCATTCACACAGCAGCCTGCAAACAATCTCTCGTGCCACATTTAGGGAAAAACACAATTTTAGGAAATCCAAACAACCCGTAAACCCACTGACCTACAGATAACCTATTCGGCAACAATGAAACTTGGAAAAAGTAAAAGGGAAAAGAAACTCGCAAAGGAAAAAGAAGGCTTTCCTATCTCAGGAACTAAGTCAAAAGCCCAGGTATTTCAAATCCCTGCCTTCATGGGTCTGCTCTGGTTCTGAAGTCCTGTTGGGTAATTTACCTGTGCTATGTAAGTCACTATGGAAGACAGCTCAGCACCGTGGCTCTGAAGTGCAGGGAATGCCACACACACAGCTAACGCAGAGCAACCGGTCTCCAGGACACAGACGAACCTCGAGTTAAATTTCACCTCAAAAGCATAGGGGAGCATCGAGATTGTTTGCTACATGCTCAACCACTGCAGGAAATCATGCAAAGAAAACTATTATGGAGCTTGCAGGCCCTTCCCAAGTAAGGAGACACCTCAGAGAAAGAAGACTGTCATAGCTCATAGTGCAGACCACAGAAGGCAAAGATCCAGATAAAAACGGAGGCAAAAATCAAGCATGTGTGGACTTTTCCTAGAACCCTCCTTTGGCTGTATGAAAAGGCAGATGCAAGATGCCCCTCCATTCTGAATTTCATTCAAAACAAAAAGTATTTCAGAATTTTGTTTCCACATTCAAATTGTGATGACCTAGAAAAGCACAAAAACTTTGACTTGTTTGTTTGTTTTACTTCTCTCTTTGTCCCAGGGACAGAGGAATTTTTTTAAAATAAGGAAAATAGCAAAGCATGGTGGCTTACGCCTGTAACCCTAGTACTTTCAGAGGCCAAGACAGAGGGATCACTTGAGGCCAGGAATTCAAGACCAGCCTGGGCAGCATAGTAAGGCCCCCATCTCTACAAAAAAAAAATTAAAGATTATCTGGGCAGGGTTGTGCACACTTGGAGTCCCCAGCTACTCATGAGGCTGAGGCAGGAGAATCACTTGAGCCTAGGAGGTTGAGGCTGAGGTGAGCTAGGATCGTGCCACTGCACTCCAGCCTGGGTGATAGAGGGATACCGTCCCTAAAAATAAATAAAATTAAATAAGGAAATTAGCAAACTTTCATCAAGGTATTAATATCTATACCAAAGTAAGGAAGCCAGATCTAGGCCTTGGAATAACAAGCCTGAAGAAGCAGTGTTCTCTCAAAATCAAAACAGGAAAACCTAAGAGTTTTTTAAAGAAGCTTTTTACACGAGAGAGATCTGAAGCAAAAGTGACAGTGTCCAGAGAACAGAGATGACTAGATGAAAAAGCATTGGCTGTGTCATCAGTTGCCAAATACTAAAGACCAAAAGAGGGAGCAGACCCCTCCAGGCTGTCCTGTGGGTGGTGGCAGCCCAACACCAGTGACCCCTCACCCTAGAAGTTTCATCTCTGAGAAGACCAGGCGCACAAGACAGGGCCCAGCCCAGGCCAACCCACAGATGCTCAATCCACTGCAGGGAGAGAGCATCCCAAGGTTCCAATGCCCATCCCCATCCCTTCCACTTCTGATGAAAGTGTGTCCTGAGTAACCTACCACCCATCCACACCTCACCGAGGTCTCCTTAAAGGGTGATCCTCCACTCACAGCAGTCTCCTTAAAGGATGGACCCTAGGGCAGACATCTTCCATTTTATTTCTCTTTTATTCATTTATTTCTCATTTATTTTTGAGACAGGGTCTCTGCCACCCAGGCTGGAGTACAGTGGCACAACCTTGGCTCACAGCAGCCTCAACTGTCCAGGCTCAAGTGATCTTCTTACCTCAGCCTCCCAAGTAGCTGGGACTACAGACACACGCCATCACGCCCGGCTTTTTTAAATGCTTTGTAGAGACGGGATGTGGCCATGTTGCCCAGGCTTGTCTCAGACTCCTGGACTCGAGTGATCCTCCCCGCTCAGCCTCCCAAAGTGCCGGGATTTGCAGGCATGAGCCGCCCTGCCCAGCCACATCTTCTAGTTTAAGAGGAAGACAGTACAATCTTGGAATTGAAACACGGACCTTCTGGATAATATTTTAAATGAGAAGCTCTCTCGAGTTGGAGAAGAGAAAAAAGGAAAATTTATGCTCAATCCACAATAAACCAATGCTTATATTGTAAGCAGTTCATTGGTAATTGTTAGACATTTTGTGACCGATGGTCCACCCCGTGCAGTGGAGCCATAAAACAATCCCCCGATCCCCCTTAAGTTATAACAATTAAGCCAGATGGATCGTGAATGCCTCATAGATACCAATAAGACTCACTGTCATAAACTGTAACCCATCATCAGCTCTCTCCATCCATGTGCCAGGGACCCTCAGGGACAGGAAAACGAACCTCCATGGTAAAAATCAGAACACACAAGCCCTCTCTGTGCCTTCCTTACTATTGCTTCTAAAATGAAGTTTTCTCCACTCACAGGAAAATTATTACTTTTCTGTCTTAGTTTCTTTGAAATCTTTTCAACTTGACCAAAGGAGACACATGAAGAACTAATACTTCATCCTCAATTTCCAGCCCCTCCTCCCTCACCTATTTTTCAATATATTTGCTTCACTCACTCAAATGAAATTGCCAAAACTTCACAGGTTCCAGGTCAGGACGAATGGCGAGAAGGAAGGTAGAAGTCACCAGGCGTTGCCACAGAGATCTGAGAAACTTGCTCATATTCTGTCACCCTCTGTAGATGACTACCCAGGTCTCCTGAAAACCATGTTTTGCACCCACGGTCAAAAAACTGAGGACGACCCAGGCTTTGCATAATCTGACTGCATCGCATTCTGACAGTCCTCAAGGAATGGGGAGAGGAAATTACTTGCACCCTGAAAAAGCATCTTTGCTGACGACTGGGAACGCCAGAGGAGGTTTTATAGTAAGGTCTATAATAGAATACTGGGACGAGCTGGGGTAGTTTTCCGCCTCAGGCTGTGCTGCCAATAAAAGCGCAGGCCAGCCCGCTGTTTTTAAGTGCCGTGGACTATGATGTCAGAATTCATTACGCACACAGGGGCTATTTACTGCCTCATAAACTTGTAGACAAGGAAATTGTTGGAGAAAAAATGGTTTCCAAAGCTTCAATGCAATCATTCATTGGGCAGTTCCCCCCAAGGACCACCAAGTCCATCTCCAAGGACTTTTCTGGCTGAAAGCAAAGTCCTGTGTCCAGAGTAGTAAAAACTCCTGGGCTCGTTCTATTTTGAGTACTTATGCCATATCTAAGCCAGGGTTGGCCCAAGTTGAAGGGTACATCTTTAAGGGAAAGATGCTTTTCCACAGCCCCATGGCTGTGCCCAGCAGACACTCAACATGGCTAAGGTGAGAAGGGGGAGGAGGAGAGAGAAGGGTAAGAAAGGAAGGGAGCAGAGGCAGAACATCCCCACATTATTAGTCCTCTTGGTATGGGAGCAGGCAAATAGCCCCTCATCAAGGCCAACTCTTTAAAACTTGGTTTCAACTAACATTATCTATTAGGCACCACCATGCAGTGTGTTAGAGACACAGAACCCAAAACTGGGCCTGGCACCCCGCAGGCACTCAAAACATATTTGCTGAATGAATGATGAAAAAAGAAATGCCACCCCTATTCTCCAGCCTAAAGTAAAGCTGACTGTATTAGTCCATTTTCATGCTGCTGATAAAGACACACCCAAGACTGGGCAATTTACAAAGAAAGAGGTTTAATGGACTTACAGTTCCACATGGTGGGGGAAGCCTTGCAATCATGGCAGAAGACAAGGAGGAGCAAGTCACATCTTACATGGATGGCAACAGGCAAAGAGACAGCACTTGTGCAGGGAAACTCCCCCTTATGAAGCCATCAGATCTCGTGAGACTTATTCACTATCAGGAGAACAGCACAAGAAGGACTTGCCCCCACAATTCAATTGCCTCACACCAGGTCCCTCCCACAACATGTGGGAATTCAAGATGAGATTTGGGTGGGGATACAGCCAAACCATATCAGTGACAAAGACATCCAAATACCACCCTTCTAAGACAGGCATGATTGCACACACCAGTAATCTTGGCAACTTAAGAGGCTGAGGCAGGAGGATCACTTGAGCCCAGGATTTTGAGGATGCAGTGATTTATGATTGTGTGACTGCACTCCAACCCGGCGGGCAGAGTGAGATCCCCATCTTTGATAAAAAATACTACCCTTCTGGGAGAAAATGCAAGTGCTTTTCCCCAGCCATCAGCAGTGTTTTTGAAGGAGCATTGGAAATTATCCCTAGTCCATCAAAAATACTGTCTATTTACTGAACGAATAGCCTACCACTGGATTTTCCCCTTTGTTTGATAAGCTGATTCCTTCATATTCATCATCCATTTCTGCTTCTTTAAGCAAGAAAATAGGAAATAAAGTATTCTTATTTGAGATAATAAATAATATCTGTGTCTATCTTAAACTAGCAGCCAAAATAATACTTAACGATGAAATATTAGGAACATTCTCATCAAATCAAGGGACAATAAAATACCTACTGTCACCAATATCATTTACCACTGTCTGGGCCAATGCAATAATACATGAAAGAAAAATAAGAGGCACAGTTCTTGGCAGAACCTCCCAAAACATATTCTTTGGAACACTACTTTTCTGGAATGTTAAATAGAGTCAAACCGTTTCTTTGCTGTAAGACTTCTCAAGGCCTTAAATATCCCAACATTTGCTACGAGTCTCCAAGAGGGGAAATGTTATCCAGTGTTTCCCAACTTTTTCAACATTGAATTGATTTTTGTCCCAGAGAATATTAAAAGTCTCATGTTCCTTGGAACACTCTTTGGGAAACTCCAGCTACATCTGTTTTTGATCTTCAGATATTTTCATCTATGTATTTAGTCAAATATACCTATCTTCTGTGAACAAAGGTTGTAGTTAAGAACAAGGGCTTTAGAGTCACAAAAACCAGGATTTAAATCTACATCCTCTCCTGACTAAAGGACTGAGAGAAGGTAGTTTCATCTTTTTTAACCTTCAATTTTTTCATTTGTGAGATGGAGATTATGATATCTACCTTATAAAATGTTGTGAATATTAGCTTAGATTATATATAGATGATTGCTTATCCTTGGGCATTCTTAAAAATTTAAACTAAAACAACAATGAGATACTACCTCTGTTATGAAATAATCAAAGCCGGAAAGGATGCAGGGAGTTGGGTCCTCTCATATCAGGGCTAGCGAGGCTGGAAATTGTTACCATTGTTGGAGAAAGAAATTTGACAGTTTAATCAAAAGCCTTAAAATCATTCACATCTGTTGATCCAGTAATTTCATGTCTAAGAAACAAAAAGATGACAAAGATGTTTATCGAAGCTTTTTTATAGTAATGACATATTGGAAAGCACATAAATCAATGACATAACTCACACTCCAGGTACTGGATACTTGCTACTTGTTGATGACCCCACCGAGGTACTTCCTATTGTGTGCAGTCGTAGGAAGGCAGTGCCGGCCCACCCAGAAACCAGGGCGGCAGAGCCTTTCTTCTCCCCAGAACAGCCAAGGGCAGGCATCTACGGCAGATTTGCCCAGTCACTGTCTCTATACCAGCACTTTGAATTCTGAGTAAAGAATTCCTAGTTATAAATTATAAATCCTCTGTCAATTTCCTGTGTGTGCATGTGTGTAATAACACACTTTTGTTAAGTCTCACAGAGGTGTATCTAAGGATTCTTTTCAAAAAATCTTTTGGTTTTGTAAATAATTATCTCAATAATACAGAGGGAGGTTATCCATGTCATTTATTTCTGTCCTTATCTTTATTACATCCTTCCTTCTTGAATGCAGAAGACATTAGCCACGCACCCCTACCACCTCCCCACTGTCTTGGGAATTTTCTACATAAAGAGTTCTGTCTCCCAAAGTGGAACCCAGAAACTCACCTTCCCAACCTCCTGCAATTAGAATTCACACATGCAACCTAGACTCTGCCAATCAGACCCATCCATGTGAGACATCTGCTCGAAAGAAAGCAGCATGAGGAGGCAGGCACCATCCCTGGCATGTGGAATCTCCATGCTGGCCAGGGTGAGCTTAGGGGCCCTGGCACTGACAGCCAGTGTTCATGGTGCTTGGTGGTGGCAATGACTATAGAGGGATATTTCTGCAGCTGTTTTGTGGTCAAGTTTGGTGTTATTCCTGGTGATGCAGACTTGAAAACTGACTCTATGGTCCTCCTAAAGAATCAGAGCATCTTTGTCCTTTAATAAGTAAATTTTCTGCTGAATCTAGCCAGTATGGGCTCTGTTGCTTTTAAGTAGGAACTCAGATTAACACATTGTTTCTTTGGGTTTGTTCTGCTGTCTTTGTTCTACCTTCTGAATTTAATATTAGCTTCTTTGTCATCAATTTTTCTTAATTTCTGATCATTGGTTTCAAAGCTATAAATTTCCCTTGAAGTAAGGCTTTAGCTGCACTTTGACATGATGTGTTTTCTGTGTCAGCAGCTCTTAATTTCCCTTGTGATAAGCTTGTTAACTCAATTGTTATTTCATAATTTGGGGGCTTTTTGATGGAGGAGGAGTGCTCCCAAATGTGTTTTTAGGCTGTTATTTTTATGTCCTTGTAATAAGCATCTAAATTTATTGCACTGTGATGAGTAAAGGTAGTTCATATCATGTTAATTCTTTGGAATTTATTGAGATTCCTTTGTAGCCTAGTACATGGTCAACTTTTTTGAGCATTTCTTATGTGCTCAAAAAAATATGCCTAGTCTGTATTCATTACCACTGGTTTCCAAATTGAGTTCAGCTGACAGGCTACATCAGCCTCATATGAATCACTGTTTAAAAATAGAGTGCCCTAGACCTCACCCAAAACTACTGCATCTCAATCTCTTAGGTAAGGCTCTAGAATCTGTGTATAACCAGCACCACAGGGAATTCTAATGGCAATTTTAGGAGGCAATCTCCTTTACTCCTACCCCACTGGGCCCTCATGTTCAGACAGGATCAGACTTCAGACGTATAATTTCAGACAAATAGGATCCTAACATCTTAAAGAAAGAGATTTCACATCCTCTTATGCTGAGTTTTTCTGACATTCAAGGTCATCTATATTAGATTACTCTTCCTTATCTCCACCCTAAATGCCTCATGCTAATATATCAACCCACCACTGTCTATTTGACATGCATGGATGCATGCTCCTTCCTTCCTAAAGACTCAGATTCCATTTATTAATCCCATGAGACATGTTAGACCCTAAGACCGTGTGATTTAGGGGAGGTTAACCCCATTCCCCCCTTCACAGGAGCATCCTGAGTAGCCCAAGTCAGCTCCACCGCACTTGCCTATGATTGGCATAGGTAATCTATAAGTGTCTTTTCCCTGGAGACTGTTGCTTGTCCAGGGAGAAGCATGGATCTAAACTGGCCCCAAAAAATAAAGACAGGAGAACCTTCATGCCACTGATAAAGGATATAATTTTTTTCTATTTATAACCTTTTGGATATAAACAACAAAATCACATACTTTCACTGACACTATCTTACAACCAGAACATAAATGAGTTCTAGGATGAAATGGATTCTATAACCATCAAAGTAGAAAATTAGAAAGAATTTGAGTCCTTTGTGATACCACTGAGCTGCTAACACAACCCACTCCAAAACTTGCCCAACTCCAAGACTTCCTGCTACGTGAGATGATGACTTAGCGTTCCTGCCTCCATAAGCAAGGATTTCTGTTGCTTGCAGCCTAAAGCATCCTACCTGATACTCTTCATTCTCTTTCACTGTGGGTTAAAAATTCAACAAGCCACTTTGGATTTGGGAGGTATGAATCTTTCACCAACTCAGACAACAACTAAAATCCCTCTTCAGCCTTCTCAAAACCTAATGCTTCTCAACCCTGTAAGCTTTCATCATAAGTGCCCTCCTTTGTCCCTTTAATCAGTCACAGTTCTCTTCTGTATCACGCAAGGTTCCAGGTCCTTCCCCAGGATGCTGAATTCCAGACATGGATGCATTATCTAGCACGGTTTGGATACTGCCAAACTTTATAAGAATTTCCTCCAATCTGTCGCATATGTATACTAATGCTATGGCCAGATTTCAGGGGCTACAGAGTTTAGCAATAATGTGACTGTGTCTGAAACGGAAAAAGTCAACATATCTACAAATGGGTGCCACTTAAATTTGAGTGGCTCATGTCGAAATGGAGACAGTCAGGTGCTGTGGAAAGCATAGCAAGCGACTGTGGCTGTAACAGAATGGTGGGTATTTCAGGGGTGACTGCCTAGGAAAAGAAGAGCCCAAGAGTCAGACATGGTCACTGTGTATCAACACTCTCTCTTTCTGAACAACCAGCATCTAGAGTGGAGAAGGGCAATGGGGGAGGCTCTCTGGTCCTCTGATGTCCTTTGAATGTCCCAATGGCATTTCTTAGGGCCTTTGCATGTCCTGCTCCCTCTGCCTCTGACCTTCCCATAGCTAGCTCCTCTCCATTCTCAAGTCTCAGACCAATGTCTTCCCAGAGAAGGCTTTCCTGATCACCCCCAATGTCCATTTGTCTATCACATCACCCTCATTTACCATGATCATGGACTGACTTTCTTGCTTAGGTACTGCCGTCCCCATACCACTTCTCTCTATCTGAAAGCTTTTGCATATTTGCTTGTTGTCTATCCAATCCCCCAAATTTAAGCTTTGAAAGTGGAGACCTTGACTGTTTTCTCTGAATGTTTCCCCAGCACTTAGACCAGTGCCTGGCCAAGTAGGCGCTTAAAAAATATTTGTGGGACTAAGGAATTGGATGATAAAATGAGAACTCCTGGGCCTAGGTCAGCCCCAGCCTCCAAAAATGTTGTCAGTACCCCGTGTCTGTGTCCTCTGCTCCCTCCTGTACACTGGCCCCAGTGTCTTCCATTGTACATGAGCTTCACCTAGAAACCAGAGGAGTGATGATGTGGCCATGCACAGTTCCAAGTGTGTATCCTTAATGCTCATAATCCCAGAGGGAAAAGAGTGAGCCTCTCTCTCATTGCCTTTACTAACAATCCCAGGGAAACACTCTATGTGACAGAGGGTGACCCTGTGCCTAGACTTGGCCAAGTACTGTGGCCAGAGGACAGGTAGAATAGACATGCATAGGTCACATGACTCTCTACGTCTAGGGTGTCATAGCAGTGTGGCTACACTAGGACAACACTGAATGGGAGAAACAGAGTTCTCTCTAAGGATACGAAGATGCTCTCACCAGTAGAAAGAAGAAATGTCAGGCAAACCAAAGAACCAAACATCTGCAAAATTCTCCAGATGTAGCAAGATATTTACATTCATATCCTATCTTCCAGCATACTGCCCTCTTTCCAAATTCCCCATGATTAATGACAATGTCAAACTGCATTGGCCTTAGGGTTGACTTTCAATCTTCCATGACTCCACTTTTCTCAGTTCCAAAGAGCAAGGGTGACTTCTACCTCTTCCTCTTTAAAAGATTAATAGGAGATTTGCCAAGTTGTTTATGTTTTCTAGAAAAAACAGTGAATAGCAAGTAAACGCTGTGCAGGTTATCACATAAAAAGAAAAATAAATTTAGAATCTTTAAAAATAAATTAAATTCTCAAAGTAATATTTAAAACTTTAAAAACTAGTTAATATTTATGATATTTTGTTACATAAGAAAAATAGGCTAAGGAAAGATGGGGAAAGAATCCTACTTTTGTAATGTGATTATATTTATATAAAGAAAAACAAAAAATAAATCATGGCTTCATGATGACTCTCATGGACCAAGGCACTTATGCCTTCATGGGTCACTTCATCCCCAAAATATTAAAAATCGCATATTTTTGAAGGTGTTACTATAAAGACAAATATATTAATCTTACTTAAAAAAAAAAAGAAGTCATTTAAATGGCAGTCTTGAAGGTAACTTGAATGATGCATATGAACTCCTTGGCATTATTTGAGTAACCTTATTTCCTCTATTTTCATCAATTGAAATTCCACTTTTAACTCAAGGTATAAAAGTGAATTGCGCTATGTCATTGTGCTAGGAGAGTTTTAAAAAATTAGAAAAGTGAATGAAAACTTGAAGAAAAAGTGCAAATAATAAAGGCCAGAAGAAATGTTTTCAAGTGGTGTTATGACACTGCCAGCTCCAATTCTCACTTTGTAGAGACATCCAAAGTCTAGACATCAATCAGTTTTGGCCTCAAAATAATATCCTAGTTAGAAAGGGTTCAGGAATACATTATAATGAATTTGAGACACCCAAAATTGCTTATTATTTTTCCATTGCTATGAAATTACACATTCTGGTGTTAGCAAATAAAAACAAAATGAAACAAACAAAAAGAATAAATTTATTCTCCAGTCATGCTTACCTACTCTATACAGCTATATTCTTTCCCTTTTTATTAAATTCCTATTGCCATAAAATGCTTAACTCAACTGCATATTTTTTGTAACTGATTTACAAATGGAAAGGTTTCCTGTCTTGGATCTCTTCTGAGAGCCCTCCAACTGCAGAAAAGTTTTCCATAGGTAGAAACCACAAAACAAAAGAAGTTTATTAAATTCCTTTTTAGCCGAGCTCAGTAAGGCAGATTCCCTCAGGCCAATGCCAACATACGCCCTTCCACCTACACCAAGCATCTTACCAGAGATGGGTGATGGATGCATAAACCTTCTTTCCAGATGGAAAATTCTCCTAAAGAGAATCTGCCACTCCTTGCCTCTTTCGCTTGTCCCTTTCTCTGCCACCAGCACAGACTGTCATTCTGTCCCCTCACTCAGACAGGCACGGCTACCCACAGGTTCTACAGAGTCCCCTGCCTCCCTCAGCCTCCATCCCCAAATCCTGTCTGCCCAACTGGCCTGCTTAGCTTTCCACACCCATTTTGTTCCAAAACATGGGTTTCTGGAGGTTTTGTTTATATTTTCGGGTCCCCAAACAGCCTTCCCTTTCAAGGGAGAAAAAAAACTTTAGGAGCCCCCCTCCCCTTCTGCTGAATGAAAAGCTGACATATGGTAACCGCTCACAGCTTCTCAGGTGCTTGACATATTTTATAATAGGTCTAGAGACTTGAAGACTAAATAGGTGAATATCTGGCTCATCAAGCAAGTCAGTCTTTTTTATTTTTTTATTTATATTTATTTATTTGTTTATTTTTCGAGACGGAGTCTCTCTCTGTTGCCCAGGCTGGAGTGCAGTGGTGGCATCTCGGATCACCACAACCTCCGCCTCCCGGATTCAAGCGATTCTCCTGCCTCAGCCTCACGAGTAGCTGGGATTACAGGCGCGCGCCACCATGCTGGCTAATTTTTGTGTTTTTAGTAGAGACGGGGTTTCACTGTGTTGCCAGGCTGCTCTCGAACCCCTGACCTCGTGATCCGCCCGCCTCGGCCTCCCAAAGTGCCGGGATTACAGGCGTGAGCCACCGCGCCCGACGGGTCTGTCTTTTTTAAAGCCAAAAACTAGTCACCGCTGCAACACTGTTAGGATGCTGCTGCTGAAGGCCCCACCGGCATTCTCCCTCGCTAACGAAGAACCAACAAGGACCAAACGAAGGGGACATTTGCTTCTCCCAAAAATAGATTACCCATCCAACTGAGAAAATTAAAGGTTGACTCTAGTCTGTGTCCATGTTGATAGGGAAAGTTACTGCGGTACTAAGGTACCGTAGAAGAGACGGCCTAGTTGGACGTAAAAACACTTTGGCCACCAGCCTGGAGGTAAAACCCAAGCTACAAAAGCCAGTAATTAAAAGAAGAGTGAAAATGATCTGAGATAAAAGCTATTTTGTGCGGATCGTTTTAAGAGTTAAGAGTTTATGTGAATGGTTTATTTAAATGGCTATAAAACTGCAAAGGTGTTTATATATGTAAAATATGCATATTGGAGGAAGTCGGCCGGCAGCTTCACCCTCCTGCGGGAAAATGCAAAGTCCATCACCAATAGTCGGTCTACCGCAGAGAAGTCTGCAAATCCCAGGGGCCTGGAACTCTAAAAAGGCCATTCAAGCCTCAGGTGGACTCCACGTTTCTCCATTTCCCTGCCCTTCCGCTTTTCTTTCCTTAACAAGCTTCTTATAACATTTGCGTTTGATGAGGTTCAAGAGGTCACTTCCCCTCCCTCTCCGCCCTCCTCGCTCGGCGGAGCGGCCGCGTCCGGACCCCTTTCTGAAGGCCGTCCAAGCCCGCGGTGCCCGGCGGCGGCTGCGCTGCCTGAGGTTTCGCGCCTCGCGCCCGGCGGCCGCCGCTGCCGGGGCCGGTCTCGCCCACGGTGAGGTCAGCCTGCCCTTCCCTGCCCTGTGCCGCCTCGCGAGTCCTGGAGAGGCCCGCGCCGGCCTCGAAGCAAAAGACGACCGCCGAAACGCGACCGTTTACCGCCTGCTTTTTCCAAGCAAAATTTGGAGACAAGTCCCACCCGGGGAAGAACCTGGCTAAGGGTCGGACATGGAAGAGAAGACGCTAAAACAGAAATTGCCTCCCTGCTTTCCACCTGCAGCTTCTAGACGCCGCCCTCGGTGCCACCCCTCGCGGAAGGCGTTCTCCCACACCGGGGTCGCCACTGCGCCCAGCTGCAGAAAGCACTCCGCACCCCCAGCAATTCGGGGCATGGAGCCGGCGGGGGTGGCGCGGCCGGGGCCTGGAGAAGCAGCGCTGAGTCCGACACCGCCCACCAGGCCCCTCTTGGAGAACTAGACAGGCGACAGCACTCAGGACCCCGGCTGCGGCCGGCGCCGCGGCAGCCACGCGCTCCAGCCCGCGTGCACCTGCTTCGCTCCGCCGCGCTCCCGGCTTAAGCCGGCGGCTCCGGGGTCCTGCCCCGACTTTTCGTACTTTCTCCCTGCTCCGTGCCTAACTCAATTCTTAACCAAATCCTGAAAGCACAGGAGTTTGGTTGGGGCTGGGACAGGCGCAGGGACCCAATTCTCCCCAAGCTCTGCGGGCCACGGCCGAAACCACCCCGGGGAAAGCCGTAGGGGCGCGCCGGCCCACGCGGGACCGAGTTCAGAGGACTCTGCACCGTCAGTTTCAGGGCCGACGTTTATAGAGCGCTTCCCACGTGCCGCACGCGGTTCTAAGAGCTTGGCTTGTATTAATTCGTTTAATCCTCCCAGCAACACTGTTAGGCATTATAATGATCCCAATCGTAGAAGTCAAAAAACCGAGGTGCAGAAACAAAGTAACTTGTTCCAGATCACGTAGGTGGTAAGTGCAGGGTATTCTGGAGCAGGAGGGAGGGTGGAAAGCACAGAAAAAAAAAAATGAACTGGGAAAAGCGTTGACGTGCTTAGTATTTCATACTGCAGGTTCCACTTTCAGAGCCAGGCTGCGAGCCTACAGGGTAGAGTAGGGGTGCCGGGCCCCCTGGTGTCCTGGCGTACTCGGGGGGAAGACAGTCGCCGGCCGCCGGGCTCCTGCCACGCTGTGGCGCGCGTGGAAGGTGAGGGTCCTCCGCTGTCCCGCCGCCTCCCACAGGGCGGCCCAGAGCCTGCATCTTTTGCAAAGGGAACATAGGATGGAGAGAAAGAAAGTCCCGCCTGAAATAAGCAAACGCGGTGGCGGCTTTGCGGTCGGCCACGTCCGCTAGGAACCCGCGAGGCGCCCTTGCGAGCTGCGCAGTCGAGTTTTCTTTCCACTGCACTTTCACGTTCTGCCGGATGGGATTTCGGGGGCAGAAGACTCCTCGAATGCAGACCGGCTGTCTGTGGCTGGACCCCCAGTGCTGCAAAGGAATCTGATATACCTGGAGGAACCAACCTCGAGGTCCAACCAAGGGAAACATCCCCTCTCCTTCTCCCTCTCCCAGAGCTCCCTCTTTGCAGTGGAGCCCTAGAGAACCAACCCACAGCCCGAAAACACCCGGAGACCAGGGACCCCGGTCCTCATAGGCAGGCTCACACTTGTAGACAATGGACCCATATTTTCCTCATTAAAGACAAACCCAAATCCGCCTATGAGAGATTACCCAGGGAATGAGAGATCCCAAGTACCGTGAAACTTAGAGGGTGCCTTAAAACTAAAGTGTTTTTATTGGATTGAACCAAAAATAACTATAAATGTGTGTATGTCAGAATGTTAATACCTTTTTATAACCGTTATTTCACCTTTATAATAACTGTGGGAGGGGGCATCATTTTTTCTTACTTTTGTTTTCCTGATCCCCATTTTACCATAAAACAGAAACAAGCCCAGAAACATTATTAAGTGACTTAAGGTAATCAGGAGCAGGTGCACTTCTCAGACTGTAAACGAGGGCAATGTGACCACCGCATCGCCACTCATCTGTGCAGGGTGGCGTTGGGGGTGAGGGAAATGCTAAGAGCACAACATGGATTGTTGGGGGGCAAAAACAACAAATAAATCAATAAACAACTATTTGTGAAATATGTGTACGGAGTCCTCGGGGCAGGGGGCTGGATATAAAGCCAAACTTATCTCCCATGCTCCGTGGTCCACTCCCCATGACTCCTTCACCTCTCCAGCCTAGTCTGAAATTCTCCCTCAGGCACTTTCAGATGATATGAAAAATTCTTCCACAGCTAGCCACTGTCAGGAAAAAAATGATTTGGAAACTGTTGTACGGTGCACATGGACAATGCATACCTGCAGATATTTTCAAAGGACACGTGCTCTTGTGATACATTATGTTGTCGGGCATATATGGAAGGCATCCTGGGATTAACTCTGGTGACTGAAGGAAACAGCACTCCTTTTCACCGTTTACAGCCACTGCGTGTACCCGGCCTGCAGTGAGAGTGGGGGAGGGAACATTTGCCAGCCTTTCTGGAGATCCAGCAGCCAGAAGAAAGCCAAGAAACTCAGAGCTGTAAGTCACCTGGGGAAATGGAGAGTTCTGTTTGTAAAATACACATCCACAACAATGTCTCAGCCCTATTTTGAAATTCCTCATGGGAAGGTGTGCGTGCATATGCCAAAATGTAATCTTAGGTATGAGAGCTAGAACCGGAGATGTGGAGAGGAGTTACAAAGTGCGCTTTTAAAACATGATGTCTAGATTTCCTCTAAAATATTTCAGCAAGAAATGAAAACAGAAAGATGAATGAAGCAAGTGTGGCAAAACCTTGGTAACTGTTACATGTAGGTGATGGGCGTATGAGAGCGTATACTCGCTCCACGTTGGTATACTATGAAACTTTTTTCGTAATAACAAATATAAAAAGATCCTGCAGCCCCGGCTGAGACGCCCCGATCCACCTGGTGCCTCCCCTTTGTATCAAGCCGGCCCCACAACGACCCCTCAAGCTCCTTCCTGTCTTGCAGACTTCTACCAGGACGAGTTTAGACAGCTGCAAGGGTGTTCTTAAGAAGCTAAAAGAAATGAAAAATCACAATTTTTAAAAATCGCTGTCTTTCTGTCCCTGTAGCCACCGAAAGACGAGGTACTTCCTCAGGGACAGAATGCTGACGCCGCGCAGAGTCGGCCGAATCCAGCTTCTCCAAGGGCGGGCGGGTGGGATGATTTGTTGATTTGCTTGTTTTCCACCAAACCGCAGGGCACCTCCAGGAGCTCCGGGACAACTTACAAATGAAGACACAGAGCCCCCGTCCCTTGCTTCAGAGAACCAAATAACGGAACTGAATGATCGTTTCTTCAGCAAAGCCTAAAGACGCTTGCGTCCCGCGGAGAGGTGCCCACGCGCGACTCGGCTGCCCCCTCTTCTTGCGGGTCCGGGTAGGGTAGGGCGGGAACGCGGGACGTGCCCTAAGCGGGCCAGCCGAGCGCGAGACAGGCGATGCTGCAGAAGCCTGCCCGCCTGCGGGTCACACACCGGCCGGCCTCGGCTGCAGGGGTTGCGGGGCCACGGGTCGCGGGGCGCCGGGAGCCGCGAGCAGGTGACGGCCGCGCCGGGCAGCCCCGCGGGCCGCGATTCCCGAGAGCCTGGCGCCACCCCGCGGAAGCCGGAGGAACTGCGGCTTCTTCCCGCTCCCGCGCGGAGGGGAGAGGGAGGCGCAGCGCGGAGGGGAGAGGGAGGCGCAGCGCGGAGGGGAGAGGGAGGCGCAGCGCGGAGGGGAGAGGGAGGCGCAGCCCGCACCGCGCAATCCCGGGGCTCTGGCGGGAGGGAAGGTGACTTGCGTGGGACGACTCCAAGAGGCCAGGCCCGGCCTTCGCAGTTCACCCACGAGGATACCGCGACCAAGCCACCAAAGCACTCTCTGGCCAGGCCGAGACCCCTTTTCCCCCGGGCCCCAAGAGAAAAAAGCACTTTCTCCTAAAACACGAACTCCCCGCGGAGGGGCCCGGGGCTGCCTGGCACGGGGCAGGGTGTGCGGCTGCCGTGCGGGCGCGGGCCAGAGTCACGTGGAGGCAGGCGGAGAGGGCGAGGGGGCCCCCGTAAATCATCCTGAGGGATTTTTGGCCCAAGTCCCTGTTTCCGAAAGGTTGCGGGACGGCTTTGACGTTGATTATGTAGCTGTTCTCTTTTCAAGTGCGCGCCCCTCCCCACCGCAGCCCGTCTGGTGTGCGAGGATTGTGTTTGAAAGGGAGGAAGCATCCTTGAAGTGGTGGGTGATGGATTGTCTAAACCCTTCTGGGACGTTCTGGGTGGGGGTTTTCGAGGCAGCTCATCAATAAAGACCCCCCTGGAGAGAAGGGGCGGCTGGAGACCAGCCCCCGCCGCGCAGCCCCGAGGCCCCAGGCCTGGAACACAGTCCTCGGTGTGGGGCACAGGGCGTGAGGGGAGGATGAGCTCCCCCTGAGCAGATGGAGATTTCTCCTTGCCTGGGCCGTTTGACCCCCAAAGCCTTGCAGACTGGCCGCGTGGGTGCCATGGGGCGATTTCTTGGGAAAGGAGGGCAGCAGAAAGGCCCGTGGGCTCTCAGCGCCTTGGAGTCAGGGGAGCAGGAAGGGGAGTGGAGGTGCGGACACGCCTCCAGCCACCGTGCTCCCCTAGGAGGATCTCCCTTCAGCCCCTGTAGAACCCTGCATCTCAACCACCCTCGTGCATGTGGTTTACCTTGGCATAGATTTCCAAGCCGCTACAGAAAACCTGTCCACCTCCCCCAAGGTGGAGGCGGGAGTTGGGAGGCAGGGGTGCTGGAAAGGGTCACCTGGCTCAAGCCGACCCCAGGTCTGACGGGCGGAGAGCCTCGAGGGCCACGCCCCAGGCCAGTGGTGTCCTCTGAGGCCGCAAAGCCGACTGGCTTCTGGAGGAGCAGCAGCCTCGGCCTCAGCCTCGGCTGGGAAAAGACGCAGTCGGGGCCCTCCGTGCTCCAAACTTGAACTACTCTGGGTCCCCACGAGGAGGAGGCTGCCCTGGGGTCAGAAACTCCGACGGAAATGAAGGGGAGGGGGCGTAGGTTCCCTGGCACAGCTCGGCCTGGAGAGGCAGCCTGGGGGCCCAAACTCATCTAGGGCGCGCCCGGAGCTTCCCCGGCCTCTCTTGGCCCATCGCGAACGAGCTCCCCTCCCCGACTGGGTCGGCCTCGGGCGCCTTTCGCCTTCGCAGGCCGCCGGGGTTCCGCGGAGGGCTTGTGTCCCTCCCTCCCGCCGCCGCAGCCCGCCCGAAGGTCAGGCCGCATCCGGGGCCCGGGGCCTTTGGCCAGGCTGCGGGGAGGGGTGGGGTTGGGGGGCTCCCCAAAGCAGCTTCTCGGAGGCGGCGTCGGGGCGCCCTGAGGTCCCTAGTCGGCCTCTGGGCGCCGAGCACGTTTTATTTATCCCCACAGAGGATGCTGGAGGACAAAAGAAATATTTGGACGTCAGAGCTGATTTATATTTTTGGAAGAGCTACGTTTCCTTTTCTGAAGAGAAGCGAGCGCGCCCCATATCCTGAGCTCGGCGGGGAGGACGAGAGGGGAGTTTTGATGCGCCAGGAAGTTCATCTATCGCCCAGGCGCTCAGGACCCGGCGCCCCGCCGAGTTCGCCGCCCTCGGAAATATTTATTTATTTGGGGGAAGGGAGGGCAGCGGGGAGGAGACCAGCCAGACGGGAGAAGAAAGCCCTGCCCGGGCTGGGTTGGGACCTCCAGGGCGCTTCCCCGCGCGGCCGCAGCCGGCCAGCCTCTGGTCTCGGTTGGAGGGCATCGCAGGCGCGGCCTGGCGACCTCCGGGCGCCTTTGGCTGGTGTCTTCCGTAGCCCTCGGCGCGCACCCTCCCGCGTGCAGTGCCCGGAGTGACCTCTTCAGGCCCCGCGGGCGCCTCCTGGGTGGGCCCCGCGGCCCCTCCAACCCTGCCCAGCGTGTGTGCGCGGCCTAGCCATCTTTCTCCCCAGCCTGGGAAGGCGGGCGGGAGGAGGGGATCCGAGGCCGGGGGCCGCGGAGCAAAAGGCACGCGGACCCCTAAACGACCCCCGAGCGTTGCCACAGCCGGGAGGGCGGAGGGAAGGTGTGCAGAGCTCGGGGGTCTCCCAGGACGCAGCTTGGCTCCTACCGGTTTCCAAGGCATCTGCAAGCTCTGTCCTGCGACCTAAAGCATGGGGACGTCCCTTCCAGCAGCATCAGTGGGCGAAAAGTTAACATGCTGAGGGCCACCGGCACCCACACTTGCTTCCAGGAATACTTGCGGTACAGGCTTCCTGACTTATTT
This sequence comes from Homo sapiens, assembly GCF_000001405.40. Classification (NCBI taxonomy): domain Eukaryota; kingdom Metazoa; phylum Chordata; class Mammalia; order Primates; family Hominidae; genus Homo; species Homo sapiens. The sequence continues at coordinate 1,384,626 of NC_000006.12, forward strand.
TCTTTAGCCGCTGGGTGCCCCCCCTTCTTCCCCCGTTGGGAGACGCAGACCGACTCTGTTCCAACCTAAGCCCCTTCTCTCTGCCTTTTGGACAAAGCGGGCCGCCTCTGCTCTCCACTCACTCCCCGCAACCCCGCAACTCGCCACCCCTAAACGCAGCGGGCTGTAGGCGAAGTCGAAGAGGTGCTCCGCCTGGTACCGCGGCCTGCGCACTGGGATCGGGGCCTGCAGGCCGCTGGGCTGGCTCCTGGGATCATCCCAAGGTTTTGGTCTCGCAACCGAGGGGACCCGCGCCCGGCAATTTGGGAAGTGCGGAAATGGGGTGAGGCCGGTCTTCGCTTGAGGGTCTCGTAGATTGGACCCCTTTTTCCCCCTTCAAGCACCCTCAGACCTGGCCAGTGGGTCATCGAGTCGTGCCCACCGCCCAGGCCAGGAGATCTGGGGCTACTGGGAGATCTCTCATGAAGGTGGCTATAAAAAGAGCCCTGACCGGGACACAAGCCTTTGGAGAGCGGAAGACTCTATCCAAATAAACACTGGGAACTGGGTGGCTGGTGTTCAGGCCCGGAGGTCTGGGGGTTTCTGGACCTAGGAAGGAGAGCAGACTCCAGGAGAGGTGTGAAATTCCCACTCCCGGCCACCTTGCTCTCTCCAACCCCCGCCTCCGCGCGTCCTCCTATTGCTGTTCCCGTCCGCATCTTCTGCTGTTATGTGAAGTTTCTAAAGAGGCCTCTGCAGCGTGCAGGCTGGTGCTCTTCCAGCATTTCCTCAATCACGCTGACACCCCCAGGCCCCAGCACTGAGTTCTCGCCGTCCACATTTAGAAAGGCCTCGCAGGAGTTCGAGAATCCTCTACACGACTTAACTTTGCGCCTAAATACAGAGCGAAAACAGGGGTCAGTCTCATTTTGAATTGGGAAGAGGCTTCCCTCCTCCCGGGCCCAGGCGGAAGGCAGGGAGGGGTGCGTCTTAGATGGCCGCAAACAGTGCGGTGCGGATGCGTCTCTCCTGTCGGTGACTGGTTTAGTCTAAGCCATTTCATGTGAAACCCACGAAGCAGAGGAAGCATGCTAAGAACACAGAATTTAAACCGCAATAATGAGGAGATTTCCTAGAATAAAACGCCGATTACAGAACAAAATCGGAGAAACCCAAGCTTGTTGAAGTTTACATTCCCTTGCGCTGGGGCAGGGGTGGGACCTAAAGGGTTGGAGGGGAAAGGAACCCGCAGCCCAGACGGGACAGTCAACCAAAGCGGGATGGAGAGAGGACCCATCGCGGCGGAGGCTGCATAGTTTTGGTTAACCAAGGACTGCCTGGGCTGATCTAGACTCATTTATATGAACCATACCTTCCCTTCCCGTAAGAAAAAAAATGTCAAGATTCATGTTATTTATAGGGAGTGAAAGTGAGTGAAGAGCTCACCCCCATAAGAAGGAACCCCAGTAGGGGGGTGGGGGAGCCATCCTAAGCAAGGCTCTGTTTCAGAGACAAACACAGCTTTCCTTTTAAACCCTGTCTGCTAACCAGAAATTAAGGTATTCCTCCCAGGGATACAGAAATTGACATAATTTGCTATCACATACATTCTTACTCAAGAGATTTGTATATATCAGTGATTAAAACAAAGCTCAGAGAGGCTTTGCTGTAATGCAGTGGAAGGAACACTGACTTTGGAGTTCCAGGCCCAGGCTGCTGGCCAGCTTTGTCACTTGCCCCAGCGTGACTTGTAGCCAGTCACCCAGTCTCTGAGCCTTAGTTTCCTCACCTCAAAAGGAGGATGATGATACCTGGGCCACTTGGTGGGTGACAAGATGGTACCTGCGAGGTCTGTAACAAACAGATGCAGGGTTTAGTCACTGTAGACGTGGTGGTGGTCTATGCCATGAGAATAGTTTCCAGAAGCAGAAGTGGGGTATCCAAGAAAGAGTTTTGGAGAGGAGCCTTCCTGCTGATATAACTTAAGAAGGCCCCCAAGCTGCTTATCTTTCTGGAGTTCAGGGTCTACAGGGGCAGTATGCAGACCCCTACAGAGAGGGAAGGCTTCCAGTCAGCTGACCGCCTCCTGGCCCTAACTGCTCTCCAATGTCCACTGCCTTCCCACGACCTGGCCGGCCCTCATAACACTCACCACACTCTAAGTGGGATTTCTTGCAAGTTTAGAGTTTAGGTAAAATGGATACTGCTGTTGCTTGGATGGAGAAAGGAGCCTTTTAAAAAAATCCCTCATAATTTAACCAGCTGAATTGGTAGAAGCTAAAAGAATCTGGGGTTTTTTGCTTGTTTCCTTGTTTGTTTTAATGAGTACCTGTGGACTTCCTAAAATCTCAGGCAAGTTGGAAGTATTTTTCTGGAAACTGGCTCCATAGCTTCCATCGTATTCTCAGAGGATGACCCCATAACCCCAAAACTGGGAGCTACTAGTATAGAAGGTTATCACTGGTCCTGCCTGGATTTTAAGGTTAGCGCCTTTTATTCTTCAGTCTCCGGGTCCTAAAACCTTTTAAGGCCTGCTCTTAACAAGTTGGATCTGTATTCCCTGAGATCCAAATACATATAATTTTCAGGCACAGAGAATCAGAGAGAGTCCATGGCTAAGTGACAATGAGTACTGAATGTTTCCAAAGCCCGTTGCCCACCGCCCCCACCTACAAATGAGATAATTGTCCTTTTCCCCCACAAGCTTCTCCCCTGGGCTCTTTCCATTTAAAGCACACACACACACACACACACACACACACACACACTGAACTCTATGTCAGTAGAGCTCCTTTAAGATCCTATCTGTCCTCCCCACTCCAGCTTCTATTTTATGAAAATAATTATATTTTAGGCACTTAGAGCATTGGTTTAGTGAACACATTATATTTACTTTCATATTTAGTTATGTATTTTTAAGTTATTCCACACAAAATGACAAATGAGGGCAAGAGAAAAAAATACCATGAAATATATGGGGACGCACCCCCCAAAAACGCTCAGCAGTCAGTCAGAAATTCTTAGAAAGTGGAAACAACTGCGAAGCCCTACCCCAACCCAATCAAAACATCCCACCCGGAAAAGAGCGACTTGTTTCTTTTTTCTATTGGAAATGAGTGGTAAACTGAGTTCGGTTTGGCGGTGTTTTCTTAGCTGACTCTCGGCTACAATCAAGCCATTTTCGGACACATTCCCATGTAGGTACCAGGGGTGCTCTGGAGGAAGCTGTCGACGCCTGTTCAGCTAATTTAGGTTTTCTTTGTCTAATTACTGTGGAGCTTAGGGAGAAGGAGCCGGCTCAGGGCAGTAAACTGACACTCGGTCTCTGTGTGTGGTATCCAGGCAGGGTTTGATGGAAAAAGCCTGCTTCCACTCAACCTCAGGTCACTGTCTGGGGCCAGCCCCGGCCCACCCCCCTCCCACATACCCCTCCCCTCCCCACCCGCCCTCTCTGCATCTACAGCCCCACCAGCACACTCAGCCAGGAGCAGTCCCCCGGCACTCCAGGGGCACACAGGGCTCCTGCCGCCCCAGGGGGCCTGCCTAGGCTGTGCGGCTGTGAAGGCTCTTTGCCTGGTGTCTTCCTCCTGATTACTGCACAACCTCCCTTTCTCCTGCCTCCTGCAACTCCCCAGGCTCCCCAGCAGGCACACCCGTGCACCTCGGTCCTTTCAGCCTAGACGCAGCGGGGTGCCCAGCTCTACCTCCTGTTTGGTCCGCTGGTCTGCAGCACCTTCTTTCTGGGCCTCCCCCTTCAGCCCTTGGGAGGCCCCGCCAGCTCCGGCCTCCTGCTCTCCTCCTCCCTCTCCCAGCTCCTATCCCTGGTCGGACTACATTTCCCTGCACGTGTAATCCAATAACTAACTGTCGGGTCTCATTGGAAGTGATTGCTCCCGAGGGCACATCTCTCTCAGAGCCTGACTCTTACTTAGGGAGGAATTAGCCACAACTGGGGAGAAGTGTTCTCGGACAGGAGTTAGCTGAGACCTGGCACAGTTTTGGGTGGGCAATGTTAAGACGGAGGATGTAAACCTAGTGACAGCTGCACACCCCTTCAGGACTGACTATAAATATAGCCATCTCGCTTATCTCAGGGTCTTTCTTTTTCTTTCTCTTTCTTTCTTTTCTTCCTTCCTTCCTTTTTCTTTTGCACTTTTTTCTTACAGAACACTAACTGGGGTGCGGGGGTGGGGGGAAGAAGTGGAAGCAAATGCAACCCTAAGTCCCATGAGATCCAGGTTTCCAGAGTCTTTGAAACTTGGCCTAGGTTTCTCAGTGTAAATCCCTCTGCTCAAAGTTCCGAAAACGTCCACGATCGCCAGCGGCCCGCAACCCTGCGGCGGCCCCCAGTCGCCCTAACAATTGTCGGGGAGCCTGCAGGCCCTGCCAGAAAGAGAGAGGATTGGCACGTTACCTTTGGGCGTCTGGCACCCCGGCGTGTGGCTGAGGGCGGCAAAGTCTAAACGAAGTTGACAGATGGAGTCAGTATCGGCCCTGGGGAGGGCGGCCAGGGAGGCTCCGAGCAGCCGCACCCGCAGCAGCACCACTCGGCCCGGCGGGCCAGGAGGAGGAAGGGGGCGCGGAGGGGCGGGGCTGGGTCCTGGGATGGGACGCGGGGCTTGCTGCGGGGGGCAAACAGAAAGAATATTTCATGAAGTCAGAGGTGGTCGAGTTTTGCGAGGGGTGGGGGTCGTCCCCCTGGCAGAACCGGAGTGAGTCTGTGATCCCTCAATTGGAAAGAGGGTGAGTGAGGGAAAGGGGAGGAGGCCGCGAGAGGAATGAAGAGCGAGGAGACCCTGGAGAGCGGGGAGCGAGATAAGAGAGGGAGGCGGCCGCCAGGTCGGGAGGGGGAGGAGTGAGCGCGGCGGCGCGGAGCGAGGAGGGGGCAGGGCGGGGTGGGGGGGGAGGGAGGGAGGGAGGGAGCGAGGAGGGCGGCCGGGGAGGGCGAGGGAGGGAGGAAGTCCGAGAGACAGAGCGAGGAGCGCTCCTGAAGGGAGACGTCGGGCTCGTCCCCGGGGTCCAGGCCGCGGTCCCACTCGCGGGCGCAGTCGCCCGGCGCCGGCCGCTCGGCCCCGCGGCCTGGGAGGCCGTTGCGCAAGGCAGGGCCCGCGGCTCGGGGAGGGATGCGCCGGGCGTTGCCTCCCGCCCGCCGCCGCCGCCGCCGCCAGAAGCCCCAGAGGAGCTGAGGGAGGCGACGCCGAAGCGCTGGCCCGGAGTGGCCACGGCTGCAGCCCGGGCGGCGGGCTAGGGCGCTCGCAGGGCTTCTGGGCCGACCCCGCTCCGGCGCCTCCGCTTCCCGCCCGGGGCCCGCCCTCGCGGCCCGGCCTCGCTCCCGGGTCCCAGATGACCACCGAGGGCGGGCCGCCGCCGGCCCCGCTCCGCCGCGCGTGCAGCCCGGTCCCCGGCGCGCTCCAGGCCGCCCTGATGAGCCCGCCGCCCGCCGCCGCCGCCGCCGCCGCCGCCGCCCCGGAGACCACCTCCTCCTCCTCGTCGTCGTCCTCCGCCTCCTGCGCCTCGTCCTCGTCCTCCTCCAATTCGGCCAGCGCCCCCTCGGCTGCCTGCAAGAGCGCGGGCGGCGGCGGCGCGGGCGCCGGGAGCGGGGGCGCCAAGAAGGCGAGCTCGGGGCTGCGGCGGCCCGAGAAGCCGCCCTACTCGTACATCGCGCTCATCGTCATGGCCATCCAGAGCTCGCCCAGCAAGCGCCTGACGCTCAGCGAGATCTACCAGTTCCTGCAGGCGCGCTTCCCCTTCTTCCGCGGCGCCTACCAGGGCTGGAAGAACTCGGTGCGCCACAATCTCTCGCTCAACGAGTGCTTCATCAAGCTGCCTAAGGGCCTCGGGCGGCCCGGCAAGGGCCACTACTGGACCATCGACCCGGCCAGCGAGTTCATGTTCGAGGAGGGCTCGTTCCGCCGCCGGCCGCGCGGCTTCAGGCGGAAGTGCCAGGCGCTCAAGCCCATGTACCACCGCGTGGTGAGCGGCTTGGGCTTCGGGGCGTCGCTGCTGCCCCAGGGCTTCGACTTCCAGGCGCCCCCGTCGGCGCCGCTCGGCTGCCACAGCCAGGGCGGCTACGGCGGCCTCGACATGATGCCCGCGGGCTACGACGCCGGCGCGGGCGCCCCCAGCCACGCGCACCCTCACCACCACCACCACCACCACGTCCCGCACATGTCGCCCAACCCGGGTTCCACCTACATGGCCAGCTGCCCGGTGCCCGCGGGACCCGGGGGCGTCGGTGCGGCCGGGGGCGGCGGCGGCGGCGACTACGGGCCGGACAGCAGCAGCAGCCCGGTACCCTCGTCCCCGGCCATGGCGAGCGCCATCGAATGCCACTCGCCCTACACGAGCCCTGCGGCGCACTGGAGCTCGCCTGGCGCCTCGCCTTACCTCAAGCAGCCGCCTGCCCTGACGCCCAGCAGCAACCCCGCCGCCTCGGCAGGCCTGCACTCCAGCATGTCCTCCTACTCGCTGGAGCAGAGCTACTTGCACCAGAACGCTCGCGAGGACCTCTCAGGTAACGCAGCACGCTCCAGCCCAGCCAGCTGGGCGCACCGCTTCTAGGCCTCCAGGGCTGGCGGCCACTGCCACTCCCACAAACAGGGACCCCGAAGCTAGGAGGTCTGAGGGCACTGGGAAAAGCAGATGCTGGGGAAAGCCGGCATCTTATTCGTGGGAGCAGGGATCAGGGTCTTACTGTCCTCCCAGTATCCCTGGCCAGCAGCCGAAGCTTCAGAATTGTCTGGCTGCTGTGAGCGTGGTGTAAAGTCCCCTGCCTTCCTGGGCTCTTTGGGGATCCCTGTGCAGGAGACTGCAGGTCTCCCGTTCAGAGTCTCACTTAGCTTGGAGAGAAGGCATCTGGCCTTTGGGGAACTTGGTCAGGAAGCTGTGTCTAGTTCCTTTTGTCCCTTTTTTTCCTTGCGTTCATTTTGCTGTACTTCTGTCCCGAAGTAAATGTCAGAATCAGATATGTTCTGTATGTTGGGGTGTCTGCAGCGAGATGTTTGCAGCTGGGCAAGTGTTAAGAGGAGGGGGTGGGAGGGACAGAGCTGGATCCCAGGATCTTTCACTAAAGGGACATTTGCCAGTGGAGGGGGTCACCAAACTGTTGGAGACTCCTCCCCTTCCCTGCCTCCCCCCCCGCCCAACAATGGACCCACATTGATGATACAGGTCCTGGGTGGCAGGACCTGAAGGACCCTGCTAGGACTCCCCTGAGAAATGCGCCTGCCCTGTGGATGCCACTTGTAGTGTGGCTGGTTTACATTGTTCTGGTTGCAGATTATGAAAAATTATTGACTTGCTGAAGGCGGTGAAAGGTGGGAGGGGACGGTAGGGATGGAAGAGGGAATTTGAATATTTGACCAGGTTAATGTGAAGAACAGAGATAAACCCTTACATTAACCCCTCGCTCGGAGCACCTAGGGCTGCAGATTAAAATCCCATGGGCCTGCCAGTCAAAGGCAAGGCCCCAAGCTACTCTCTCACACTGGCCTCCCACAGCAATGAGACAGTGGCTTGGAGGGTGATGCATGCTTTATGTGTTCCTGAGCCGGTGTGCAGCGGGAGCACCCGGGGAGAAGGAAAGCCCAGAAATGGGCAAAAGATGTTGGTTCCCTGGACGGTGAAATTTCCCAAATAGGCCTTTTAAATGTGGGTCTCAGAGGTTAACCAAACAAAGACAGTCTCGGCAGGACCACACCGGAGAGGATTTTAGCCTGACTTAACCCACTGAGAACAGAGTCTTGTTCAATTTTATGGGAATTTCAACAAGTAACCAATACAGGCGGCCTTCCCCTCTTATTTTTGTATTCCCTTGGACCGGCTGTCAATCACACACACACACACACACACACACACACACACACACACACACCCCTCGGTGCACTGGCCCCTTCCCTTCCCCGCCTGCCTGCTCCTCTCCCAGCCTGCCAGCTGCCCTCCCTGCTCCCCTTCTTCTCCTCTCCCGGCAGATCCACTCAACTTGAACCCGGACTCTGAGGCTTAGCAGCCTTGGAGAAACCGTACTCTAGGAAGAAAAAAAAGCACACAGGAAAGAGACTCCTGACCCTTCCTCAAGGCTGCTCTCGCCCCACCTCATAACACTGGGCGCAGGCACAAGCTCCCAAAACTTCGGAATCTGGATACATTACTGTCTTGGAGGGGGTGAAAACTGCCCAGCAAAGCAAGCCGGCCTCTGTGCCCCTACCCAGCGGCCTCCCGCGGCCGGCCTTCCCTGGGAGCCTCGCAGAACCCCCGACCGAGTCTGGGAACGCCCGGGGGAGACAATAGCTCGGGCCTGACGCCCGACAGGGACCCTCTGCCCTTCCTTCCTCGCTGTCTTGCTCCCGTCCCTATAGGATACCCACCCGGCCCTGTTGCCATCTCCCTGGAGCGCCAGCGGTGGAGGCTTCGGAGGAGCCGGCCGGATGCACCGGGACCCCGCGGGGCCTAGTTGGGAGCGCGCCGCCCACTGAGGCCTGGGGGCCCGGCGAGGCGCGGGGGTGGCCAAGGCAGTCTCCCCGGCACACAGATCAGCACATGTCTACGCGCACACACCCAGCACGACCCTCCCTCCCCCAGCACACCCCAAGGGCCGCGCCCTCCGCTCCTGGGCCTGGTGGCCATGGTCCATGTGCCCCTGCCGGCGCAGGGGCTGCCCTGGAGTTCTCCATTAAGCCCTGCGAGCACTTCAGGAAGGAGCTCGGGCTTCTGTCATCCCGCTCAGCACATCAAAGCGCCGACGGCCGCCTTCGTGGGCAGGTGTGAGCGCTCGCCCTCTCTCCTCCCGAGCCTGCTATTTTGTGGTCCAGGACTTGCCATCAGAACTTGCTTTAACGCGACGAGGGAACTCACCTGTGTGCAGAGCGCCGCGCACACATCGGGGCTCGCGGGACAGGGCAGCTGCGTTAGCGCAGCGCCGGGTGTGTTCGGGTAGGTGTTGCGGGCAAGGAAGTAGGCAGCGGCCCCTGAGCAGCCGCCTCGCTCCGGCATTGCGGGGACACGGCGGGGCTGAGGCCACGAGAGCAGGGCCCGAGCCCGGCGGGCCGTGGTTACGGTTTTCTTGCACTGAAAAACTGAATCCGGCCCGAAGCGACGTGCACTTTATGGTCCCCACACCACTCGGTTAACTAAGAAAAGACCCGGGCGAATGGACCTAACGCAGCCCGGTGCCGAGAGGGCCCGGTCCAGCAGCCTCTGGGGCCCAGTGCGCAGGGCACTGCGGGCCGATTGCGCCCCGGGGCCAGGAGGCGCCGAGAAAGCAAAAGCAAAAGCCGGCGGCGGGTGGAGGTCAAGCGGCCCGGTGCAGGCCGGGGACCGGGGAGCCGCCCCGGGAGAGCAGGGTCCAGGCCTTCTCTGTCCCCCTCCAGCCTGGGGCTACCTCAGGGACTCCTCGCGCTGCCAGATGCTTCGGACCAAAGGGCATTTCTCTGCGCCCTGAAGTCCCGGCTTCTCTAGAGGAAGTCTAAGACGTTCGGGACCCACGAAGATGCCTGCGGAGGGGCAGGAGAAGAGGCGTGCTTTTCTGCCCCATCCCTTCATCTTGCGATTGGGTTGTTTTCTATCGTCCCCTTTGGCACAGGGAGTCCTCTGCGCTCGCTGCTGTGACCGGCCCAGTTAGTTGGGAAACAAGGCTCAGAAAGAAGGCCGCAGTGGTGTTTCTGGGGTAGGGTGCTTGGCCCTCCCTGAAGCCAGGGCTCAGGGCAGCACAGGCCAGGAGCTCTGCCGGGAGAGACCCGGAACCAGAGTCTGGGTCTAGTTGTCCGGTACCTGTGCTCATTCTGAGATTAAAGTGCACGCCCCAGCCTCAGAGAATAAAATTGGAATTCCAGGACATAAGAATCCCCCTCGAGGGGGAACTTGCTCTGTGTTTGTGCGAGCATCAAAACAAAACATAATGATTCCAAAGCAATTCTATGACGTGCAGTTGGTGTGTTTGAGCTACTTCTAAAGCTGGGCTTTCTCTACCAGCTGTCTAGCAATTTACTAAAAGGCACAGCAGCACCTTTTGTACTCTGAGGCAAAATAAGACACCCTGCCATCCACTGGATGACTTTGTTTCTGAAGAGGTTTTTTTTTCTTTCTTCTTTCAGTGGGACTGCCCCGTTACCAGCATCACTCTACTCCAGTGTGTGACAGAAAAGATTTCGTCCTCAACTTCAATGGGATTTCTTCTTTCCATCCCTCAGCTAGCGGGTCGTATTATCACCATCACCACCAGAGCGTCTGTCAGGATATTAAGCCCTGCGTCATGTGAACGGAAAGAGGCCAAGCGATGGCCGCTCTCTCCTCTCCCCTCCTCAGAGGGGGCAGATAGAAACTGGGACGGATTCAAGTCACATGCACGCGGATAGCAGTAAGCCACACACCTGCCACTTAGCCAGAATGCCCAGGATCGCGTTGGTCACTGTTATTTGCCTACTGCTGGAAGAAGGACAACCGCTGGCAAGGTAGCGTTCCCCAATCTGAATACCTGCAGGCTCCCACATGAGGGAGAGGGCAGACTCAGGTGGGAAGATGTGCCATGCGTAAGGCATCAACGTGTATCTGTGGGATCTTCGTTGCCTTCAGTAATCAGGGTGTGAAAAAAGCAGACAAGTTGTGTGTGTGTGTGTGTGTCTAAGAAAACTTGTGTGCTTTTCAAAAAGGCAGTGCTAAGCACAAGATTTCAAGAAAGCCTCTTCTTGTTGCCTAGCTGAGTGGGAGAGTCATTTTCCCCAGACACTACATTTGGATACAGGTGCCAAAGAACATTATTAAGGAATTATTTAGAAACAATGTGTCTAGTTTAAGAAAGTGGTTTTCAGTATTGTGACAATACAACGTTTTTACAAGGTTGTTTTCTACCACCATATTTTAAAGATATTTTTATGACCGTGTATACTCACACTTTGCTTGTATTTTAAAAGGAGGATATATTTGCACTTATGTATACTTTTACAGTTTGCCAAAATATTTTGTTGTAAAATTTTTTTTCAATAAAATGTATATAACAAATAGTTGTTTTAGGGGCTGATTTTCTCTTCGGGCACCCTGAGAGCAATGGATGCCAGTTTCTCCTCCCCGGCAGGCAGCTGTGCAACTCTACCCACACCCCCTCCAGTGGTGTAACTGACATGGTGTGGGGTCTGTGCCTTGAGTAACACAGGCCAGGTTCTGATTGTGAGTCTTCTCAGGAGAAAAACAGTGGAAGAAACGTTTTCTGTTATTTCTTTCTTTACTTCACCCCAGCTTTTTCTGGCAAAACAAAAACCAGAAGGTGAAAGGAACTAGAAAGAAAACCAGGCAAGATACCGACCAGGGTTTGATTTTGAGGAAACCAATTTTGTGCCCCTTCTGTTTTCTTTCCTGTGCCCGGGGAGTGTTCTGCCCTTTGCCCTCTCTCCCTCCCGACTGGCATGGGTTGACAGATGTGGGGCACAGTGGTAAGCCCCCCTCCAGGGTTGGATGCCCAAAGAACAGCACCCTGCTTCTTCCCTTTGCACGTTGCAATTTTGTTATGGGTGGCGGTCACATGCTGTCAGAAATGGGGTTCAGATCTGAAGAATGCAGGGGGATCCCTGAGCTGCAGGGGGCAGGCTCCCAGCAGGGGGTTTAACTTCCTTGGGGAGTTTAATACAGAAGCTGGACTCCCCACACGTTGCTCTGTGGCTGCGGCCTGTCCCACCCTCCAATTCAGAGCCTGGCTGGCCCTGCTCAGCATCGGCACATAGCAAGCCGGTTCAGCCCTTCCTTCCTCCCGGCCTCCTCTCCCCACTCCTCCCTTTTAACCAGGGATTTAACAAGGGAACCCCTCAGCCCCTTTTTCTGTTCCTGCTAGATTTCCCAGTCACCAGTGTTACAGGCAGAGCTGGTGACGCTCCCGATGGAAGAGCAAAATGGGCCAACTAGGCAGGAGGACTGACCTTCTGTCCCAGCAGCCCTTCACCATCACGAGCCATGTTGGGGACAATGGGTCTGAGAGAAGCAGAGAAATTATCTGCTCCAATCATGCTGTGCATTTTCCTCTCCAATTCAGGGCTGGAGTTTTGTTTTTGTTTTTTGCTTTTTCTTTCTTGATTGGAAAACTCACCTTTGTTTCTTATCCCTTAAAAGGTCTTTCTCCCAGTCAGTCACCAGACTCTTGGTATTCGTAGGGAACTGTTTCACACCCCAGGGTTTTTGTATTCTAAGTGAATTTCACTGCAAAGAGCGTCTCCTGAGTGAAACATCTTGTTTCCGAAAGTCTTAACCATCTTTCTAATCTTTAGGTTTCCTTCCTATATCTTCTAAAATTAAGAAGTGATTTAAACATTTTTTGTCTCTCCATTATCATATTTGCAGTTAAATAAGGCCTTTTTATTTTCTTTTATAGTGAGCTACTCGGGGGCCTGCTATAAATTATGAAGTCAGTTTCAGAGTTTGCTCCGACCACAGTGCTGTGTTTACATTCCTTCCGAGGCAGCCGGCATGGTCGTAATTTATATCCTAAACACTTGAACGTAACTTGTTTATACAGAGAATGACAGGACCTCAAAGACGAAAACTGCGTCTGCCTGCCTGGCCGCATTGGGAGGCCCAGCGCGCCCCCTGGTGGCGCGAGGAGATCCGCCCAAGGCGACTCAATGATTCCTTCAAGCTGCGCAAGAACTTGACAAAATGACCCGTTTTGTGGTGCCTTCCAATAGAGACATTTTTAAGTATCTCACTTTCATAAGTTATGGTTTCCAGTTTTAGGAAATACTTTGCTTTCTTCTTTCTTCTTCTTCCTTTTTTTTTTTTTTTTTGAGACAGGGTCGTGGTCTGTTGCCCAGGCTGGAGTGCAATGGCACGATCTCAGCTCACTGCAGCCTCCACCGCCTGGACTCAAGTGATCCTCCCGCCTCAGCCTCCTGAGTAGCTGGGACCACAGGCACGCACCACCATGCCTGGCTAATTTTTTAATTTTTGTAGAGACGGGGTCTTGCCTCGTTGCCCAGGCGTGGGCTTTTTTCTATTTTACTCTTTTCGCCTACTGTCTCATCCTGAAACCAGATCACAATTCAGTAAGAACAGGCCTGACCATGCTCAGCAGATGCTAAAGCCCTGACTTGCTACGTATATTCTTCATTTCTACATTTCTCCCCAAATAAGGCTGTTGTTTTGTTTCCTTTTGAGTCAAAATTGTTTCTCTCCTAACTGTCCCTCAAAGACACACACGTACACATAGACTCATTTATATTCACCCTTTTTTTTTTTTTTTTGGAGAAACATGCAGTGCTTGGCTTTAAAAGTTGCTCAAATGTTAGTGATTAAATTGAAAAAAAGTGCTACACCTTTATAAGTGAAAATAAATGAACTAACTCAACTAGGGATAAATACCTCAACTGTTTTTTCGTCAAATGGATTTTGAACTTAGGTTTTCTGCTCATTGGCGGAATAAAGTGGTATATTAAAAGATTTTATTGTTTTCTATAATAATTATTGTTTTTTGTTGGTTTCATTGGAGCTGTATACATAAAGACAAGACCAGGGAACTACTAAGCATCATGCATCAAGTGCTGGGCACCGTGGCTGTCTTACCAAATCTCACACGGCTATCTTACTTAATTCTGTCAATATCCCTCTGAGGTGCTGATATTGACCTTATTTACAGATCTGTACTAGCTCCTGACTAGGTCATGACTTTGGGGGGTTTGACCCATGTCTTCTGATTTCAGTTTATTTCCCTCGTTTCTCCAACACTGCCTCTAAGAATTTTGCAACTGACACTGCAGATCTTTGAGTGGCAGGAATATTCCCTCTGAAGCAGCAGTTCTCACACTTGAGTGCACATCAGAATCACCTGGAGGGCTTGTTCAACACAGGCTGTGGGTCCACCCCACCCTCCATTTCTGATTCAGTGGGTCCAAGGTTGTGTTCAAAGATGTGTATTCCTAATAAACTAATAAAAGAAGGTGATGCTGATAATGTTGGTCCTGGGACCACACTCTGAAAACTGCAGCTCTTGAAAGGCAGTTTCGATTACAGATCTTTTTATAGGTTCCAATGGATAGGTATTAAGGATAGCCTATTAATTGGTTAAGCAAAGATCTGGAAAGGTTTTTCAAATAGTTTGTCCATCTAAATGCCTCTGTGATTGATTATGGGCCCCTAGGAAAATGCAAGGCTTAATTTTGAACCCTAGGCCAGAAAGTAGGATCTCCCCATTTTTATTCAAAGCAATGAGGCCTCTTGTTTTATTGTAGTAAACATTGCAGAGAGGAGTCAGATGGAATCATTGAAGTCTACCTGCCTCAGTGGAACAATAAGTCTAGGTACTTGCACACAGCAGCCAGTCAGAATTCTACAAACAGAAGGAGGCAGTAATGGGAGCAGACAGGAAAAGAAACTCCATTATTGGTTATAAAACCTTTTGAGGGTAGAACAGAGAAAAGGCAAAGAAGGGGGGCTGTGATCTCAGAGGATAGCAATAGTGATCCCTAGATATGAATGGGTAGGCAGAACCGTGGGTGAAGAAGGGAGAGAGACAGAGAGAGGAAAAGGGAGAGAAAGGAAGAGAAAGAGAGAGATGGAGACAGAGAAGAAGGAGGGGAAAGAGGAAGATAGTCAAAAAGAGGGAAAGAGGAAGAGAAAGGAAGAGAGAGGGAGAGAAGAGAGGAAGAGAGACACATAGAGAAGGAAAGGGAAAAGAAACGGAGAAGAAAGAGAGGGAGGGAGGGAGAGAGGGAGATAGGAAGGGAGTGAGATGGGGTAAGAGAGAGACAAAGAAAGAAGAGAGACTGGGAGAGAAAGAGAGATACACAGAGAAAGAGAGAGGAAGGGCAAAGATGGGTGGAGGGTGTGGGAAGAAAGGAGGAGGAGGAAGGAGGGAGAGAGACAGAGGGAGAGAAAGGGTGGAGGAGGAGGAGGAGAGGGAAGCAGGGGGAGGGAGGTAAGGAGGGAAAGAGGTCTGGAGAGGAGGAGTCTGCAGACATTTCCTGAGCTCCTGTCCCTGGAGCTGAGAGGCAGCCCTGGAAGCTGGATTCCTGTCCTCTGAGGCCACCATTCTCTCTCCAGGTCCCCAGTGCCAACCCACGAGCTGAAAGACCCATGGACTTCTGTTTTACTTGGCTTGGCCTGAATTCTGGGGAAGTAAGTGAATTCTCTAGTTGTGCATGATCAAATTTTCTGAACTGCCACAGCGACTTATACAGAATTAGGGAGAACAATCTTGACTTAGATTTTAGAAAGTGGAAGTCCGATTTCTGGGGAAAATCTTCAGGTCCCTAGGATAGGCCACGGTATGGCATTAAAGGGAATTAGCAGCTCCTTCCCAAAAGAAACACTCTCTTTGTAGATTCGTATTATACCTAATTACTCTGCATCATGGTGATTAATTCAAAACAGGCACTGACTTACTTAGAATGGAAATATATTTTAATATATTTTATCCGAACGGAAATACATTTTACCAAACCTGCCTCTATGAAACACTATCTTAGCAAGAAAAAACACCACAAATGTAGACATGGCCAGGGAGGGCCAGGGCACACAGACGTCAAGGTCATTGGGGAAAAAATGAAAGTCCTGGAAGTTCTTTTTGAGTTCAGAGTGCCCCAAGTCCACAGCAATCCAACTGATAAATATTCATCTCTCCATGTCCTGGGGGACGTGTGTGAGATACGGAGCCTTGGCCATCCCACGGCTGCATCGCCAGGCCTGTGGGCTTAACTGTATTCACGAGAGCACAGACGGAGCGGACAGCGGGACAGCTTTCCCTCCGAAGGGCCCATTCCACCCTCCAGCCTGGCAACGGAGGCTCGGTCACAGCCGGGCAGTGACTCGTCTGCCGGGTGGCACGGCCTCACCTCCCCAAACTGGCAGAGCACCTCCCCCTCAGATTTGGAAACCGCTGTGAGTTAGGTGGAGTCCAAGCCTGGAGTGTGGGGAGAGGAAGACCTGCCTCCTCGCTCCTCCTTCAGCAGCTCCACGCAGCACAGAGCGGAAGTGTCGGTAGACCGTGTTGATTGACTGACTGGGCCCCAGCGCGCCGTGTGCTAATCCCCGCTAAGAGCTGTTCTTCAAGGAGGGGAGGAACTGGACCTGCTGTCAGAACAGAATTGCTTAGCTGGGTTGAGACACAGGGAACCAGGCCAGGATCTGGCATCTCAATAGGGATTCCAAAGACACCAGGTCCGCTGACGGACTCACTCTGGATGACACACTTGCTCACAGCCTGAGTGAGTGCACAGTAGCCCAGCAAGCTCCAGGGGGAAAAAAAAACCCCCTGCGGCCGTCCCGTGGCCCATCCGGCCAGTTCACACAGTCACCTGGGGTAGGCCGAGGTGTACTTTAACAGCTCCCTGGATACAGCCGACAGGTCTGTGGGAAAATGTCCGACCTCTCTATTCATCAGGAAATGCAAATGAAAACACAGTGAGATACCACCTCACACACATCTGAATGGCTTTTATCAAAAAGACAAAAAGTAAATAAGTATTAGCGAGGATGTGGGGGAAAAGGAACCCTTGCGCACGGTTGGCGGGAATGTAAATTAGCACCGCCATTTTGGAAAACAGTATGGCAGCTTCTCTGTAGACTAAAAATGGAACTGCCAGAGGCTCCAGCAGCCCCCCTTCTGGAGGACGCTCCATAGGAGCTGAAATCAGTATGCGGAAGAGATGTCTGCTCTTCCAGGTTCACTGCAGCGGTGTTCACAACAGCCAAGAAATGCAATCAACCTATGTGCCCATCAACTGATGAACAGATTTTTAGAATTCCCTGTACATACAATGGAATATGACAGTGGTTCCCAATTATTTTGGCACCAGGGGCCGGGTTCATGAAAGATAATTTTTCCACAGACGGGGCAGAGGAGTCAGGGACCCCTGGAATACGGCATAGCCTTAAAAAAGAAGAAAATTCTGTCATTTGAGACCACATGGATGGAACCAGAGAACTTAAGGCTAAGTGAAATAAGCCAGCCACAGAAAGACAACTACCACATGATCTGACTTATATGGAGAATCCAAGAGTCGATCTCATAGAAACTGAGTAGAAAAGTGGTTACCAGAGGCTGGGGGAGAAGAAGGGATGGGGAAAGGGGAAAGGGGAGGTATTGACCATAGGGCACGTCTCAGGTAGACTGCAGGGGTAGGTTTTAGTGATCTATTGTGTGCCATGGTGACCGCAGTTAATAGTAATAATAATGTATGCTAAAGGAATAGATTCTTCACATTCTCACCACAAAAAAACGGGAAGTCGGTGAGGTGATGGTGTTAGCTTGATTGACTCTTTCTACAATGTATACGTAGCTCAAAACATCCCATCGTACCTGATAAATACACAAAATTATTTGTCAATTAAAAATTAAAAAGAAAAAAGCTCCCCTGGTTCTTCTAATGCTCAGGCCATGCTGCTGGAGAGCAGGATTGCGTTTACAGTCGCCCTCATTCCAGGACAGCCGTCTACAGGTGGGGAAGCTATGGCCACAGCCGCATTCTCCTAGCTGTCAGGCAAGCCTTCTACACCCCAGTACACTCGAGCAGACTCCCCAACTCACCCCAGACCCTAACAGCGAGCTTTCTGGATGGGCCTGGGGCGGCAGGGGCTTCTGGGGCTCCCTAGGTGACGGCTGCTCTAGATCCATCTCCCTCAAGCTGGGAGCAGACGCTGAACCCCTAGACTCTGCAGAGGAGGGACGCACAGCCCAGCAGGCACCAGGCATAGCTCCACATTAATCAGTTACTCAGGCCTTTTTCTAAGAGAGAGAGCCGAGCATGAGGGCAGGAGCTCAAGGAGGGAGGGACACAGAAAAGGAAAGGCACGGACACGCCACGGCAGGATGAGGCTGTGGGAACTCAGGTCACAGGGACATGTCCCTTTGCGCCTTGGACGTCTGGTGCAGCCGAGCCGCCTGGCCTTACCTGCCCAGGGCCTCTTCCAAGGGCAGCTGTCAATATGCTCCTTGGCATGATGGCAAAGGCTGTTCACAGCCCTGTGCTCTAAGATACAGTAGTCCAGCAGTAAGGGCCACGCCGGGGCCGCCCGCAGGACCGGGAGAGGACAAAGCCAAGGACGCCCGGGGCTCCAGGCCAAGCACAGGGAAGCCACGGCCTAAAGAAAACACACAGAGAGACGTACACACACTCACACACACACAGACACACACTCATATACACATACTCAGAGACACACATAGACACACACAGACACACACATAGAGACATAGACACACATAGACACAAACACACAGACACATTCATATACACACAGACACATACACACTCACATAGAAACACACAGACACACACTCACAGACACACACATACAGACACACAGACATAGACACACACAGACATGCACACAGATACACAGACACACACATACTCATACACACAGACAAACACACACACATAGACACACGCACACAGACACACAGACATAGACACAGAGACATGGGCACACACACAGAGACATAGACACAGACACACACACAGACATAGACACACATAGTCACATGCACACACATACACACACACTCACAGACACACACAAACACATAGACACAAATACATAGACACACACACACATTCACATAGACACACACAGACACAAACACATAGACACAGACATAGACACGCATACACACACACATAGACACACACAGAGACACACATAGATGCACAGACTCACATAGTGACTCACAAACACAGACACACACTCAAATACACACACAAACACACACAAAGACATAGACACCCACATAGACACAGACACACACACTCATATAGACACAGACATACACGCAGACACACACACATGCAGACATAGACACAGACACACATAGGCACAGACACACTCACATAAACACAGACACACTCACACACAGATGTAGACACACACACACAGACATAGATCCACACACACACTCACAGAGGTATAAATACGGACACTAACACACACACTGACACAGACACTCACATAGACACTCACAGATACAGATACACACACTGACACATACACTCACATAGACACTCACAGATACAGATACACACACAGACATACACAAGCAAGGATATAGACAGGCAGACATAAAGACACACAAACACGCTTGCACACAGACATCTAACACAAAGAGACATAGGGACACACACAGACACATATGTTGAGATATGTAGATACACAAAAGCATGCATGCATACACACAGATGCACAGAGCCACACAAACACATAGATACACACAGACACGCAGACACACATAGACATACACACAGAGACCCACACTCACAGACACACACAGACATACATGTAGACATGCAGACATGCAGATACACCGAGACACACACACGCACATGCATACACACACAGCAACATTCAAACACACACACACACACACACTCGCACACAATCTGCTATTCAGTTGTGGGTCTATCTGCAAGCACTAAAGGCTGACATCCCATCACGCCTGCCATCCTCCCAAATCTCCAAATCCACCACAGTGGTTTCATCATCTTCTGAAGTTTCCTTTTTTCTAATCACAACCCTGCTCTAATCCCAGAAACAGGAAGAACTGCCTCTTTTAAATTAAAAGGTTGCTTTTGTTCTCAGAGGCCAACCCAAGCCCCTTGGCCATGGACAAGGCCCCCAGCTGGAACCACAGCACAGGGCAGCATCTCCCAGAACAGGCTAGGGAGGGTGCCTCCTCCAGGAGCCCAGAGCCGAGGCTGGCCAGCTATCTGCGTGGAGTGTGGAGAGGACGTCATGGCTCCAGGAAGCGGTGAGGTCCCAGGGCTCTGACTCAGGCTCTGAACATGGGGTGTCCCCTTGCAATGGTAAGAACAGGGTTTGATCAGCAAGGGCAATCCCTCTTCCTCTTAGATGACCCATCCTTTTCAAGCAAGTCCCCATCCCAAGAGGAATGGGGCAGGTCGCCGGGCTGGGAGTCCTCCACCCGGATGTGAATCTCTGCCAAGGAGCAACTGAGCAGCAGTGCCAAGTAAGGAGGCTGCTCCAGCTTCAGGTCTTCACAGTGGGCACTGGCCGCCAGATCAGTGAAGCCCACAGACAGGCCCCTCCAGGCTATAGGGAAAGCCCTGTTCCTTACTGTGCCCTGGGAATAACACAAGTACACACACTAAAGATAATGTCCCAGAGATGGCTGTGGGCTGTCTCCCGCCCACAGCCCCAGGAGTCCCTTCCAGATAGCAGCCCTGAAGAGGCTATGGCCTAGAAAAGCCATAGGGCATCTGCTAGGTCTGTCCTGCAACGGAGTGCCACAGATTGGGTGATTTACACACAGAAATCTATCATCTCAGTCCTGGAGGCTGGAAGTTCAAGATCCAAGTATCAGCAGGGTTGGTTTCTCCTGAGGCCCTTCTCCTTGACTTGCAGACGGTGTCTTCTCCCTGTGTCCCCACATGCTCTTCCTTGTGTGTGTATCTGTCCTAATCTCCCCTATTTATGGGGACACAGTCATACGGGACCAGAGCCCACCCTAGTGACTTTGTTTTAATTCAGTTTCCTCTGTAAAGACCTTATCTCCAAATGAGGTCACTGGGAGTTAGGACTCCAACATACTTTTTGGGGGAGGTGGGAGTGTGAAGAACATAATTCAACCATAACAGTTATAAATCGAGCTCACAGCTGGACAGAAATATACTTGATTTCTGGGTCCACAACCCCAGGCCTTCTCCCCTGCCCTAGTAAGCTCCAGATTAAATAGGCTCTCAGAGAGCCAGACCAGCGAGGCCCATCCCTTCTCTCCATCTGTGCCTTGAGCATGGAGTGGCTTGGAAGCTAGATTTTATTTCCTGCAGAGAGAAAACGCTAGAGCCAGCACGCAAATGAGCTCTAGCCCCCAGCGGGACTGCATTCTTTTGGGGAGGGCAAAGCCTATAGTTATGGACTCCACAAGTCCCTGGGAGAGGCAGCAGTGCCCCTGAAACTGCATCAGACACTGTCTCTGCATCAAGGCACACACCTCTCAAAAAAAAGGAAGAAGACAGGACAAAGATTTTTTTCCCCTTTTTGAACTTGGATGAGCTAGCATCGTTGCACAGTACAAACGCTGGGCATTCACAGAGGCAGCTCTCTGTGGGCCCCGGGTCTCTGCTAGCCATCTGTGAGTGGGATCTTGAAGAGTCTTAGGAGGCAAGTATTTCTAAACCCACTTCCTAGAGGAGCAAGATCATTCGCAGTCACATACCTGGTAACTGGGACAGCTGAAACCCCAACCCAACTCCATCGGACTCCACACATCAGAATCGGGCTGGTCTGTGAAAGGATGGGGGAGGCTTCCTGGCAGGATCTGTGTACCCCTTGAGCTTGACAATTGGTAAGATACACTCTGGGTGTAAGATACAGGGTGTTTGTCCACTAAGTTCATGAACAGCCCAAGACACAGCCCACACTGGAGTAGATGTCATCCATTAATCCCCTAACAATGGAACTGACCCTTGGCTGGGCACAGTGGCTCACGCCTGTAATCCCAGCACTTTGGGAGGCTGAGGCAGGGGGATCATTTGAGGTCAGGAGTTCGAGACCAGCCCGGCCAACATGGTAAAACCCTGTCTCTACTAAAAATACAAAAATTAGCTGGGTGTGGTGGTGGACGCCTGAGGTCCCAGCTACTCGGGAGGCTGAGGCAGGAAAATCTCTTAAACCCAGGAGGCGGAGGTTGCAGTGAGCCGAGATCACACCACTGCACTCCAGCCTGGGCAACAGACTGAGACATCATCTCAAAAAAAAAAGAATGCAACAGACCCCAGCGTCTGAGGAGGCTGGGCAAAGGCAGCCTGCATGGCCTCCAGGACTCCCACCCTTTCCACTGAGGTCCCATGGGAGAGAACCAGCTGCTCTGAGAGCCCGCGGGCCGTGTCTCCATCAGCTTAACCCCAAATGAGAACCAGGTGTGTCCAGGCCCAGTCTTGGCTCCCCGGGAGTGAGGCGGGAGGGATGGGAGCTCAGGCCCGGCCCTCAGAGGCCAACTTCCCACCCAGGGCACAGGGGAGGAGGAAAGCAGGAATCCCCAGGCAGAGATCTGGCTCGGCAGGAGGAGGCTTGGTAAGAAGGGAGATTCCGGGGTGCATGGAGAGGAGGAGGACCTGCCCTCAGAGTTCAAAACCAGAGTCTGGCCCAGACTCCCTTACACAGCACTCAAGCCCCTCTCCCACAGGGAGGGTGGGGGTGCCATTGCCGTATTACCCCCAGGGAACTGAACCAGGCTTGGGGAGGCAAAATCTGTGAGGCCCGCTGGAGATGGGGACTGCAGTTTTCCCGCACTGCCCTCTGGCTTTCACCCAGGCATTCTCTCGATGGCCCTTGCAAGACTCTTTTTCTCAGTCCCTAGCAGAGGCTGAGTCATTGAGGGGTTTTAATTTGGAAAGCAAGATTACAAAAGAGAGAAAGAAACCACAATTCTATTCACAATTATGTGCAGAACAAGGCCAGAGTTACAACTTTCCTTTTCCTTCCCCAAATTCAGTGCTGACATTAGATGAGGCTTTTCAGAATTTTGGAGCAGGCTGTAGTCTTATGGAACAGACAAGAGGTGGCTCTGGGGTTGGGGGATGAGGTGGGAAGGATGGTTTGATTCTAGTACTTTTATTTCTGTCACCATCCAAAGCCCACATGAAAATGTTAAGTCTGATTAAACTGTTGGGTGCAGGAGAGAGCATGAAGGGCCTTTTTAGAATAAATGAGAGTACAAGGATGCTCTCTGAGAAATAGCCGTGAAAAACCTGAAAGGAAGTGTTTCCAGGTCAAAAAGAACTCATATGACCCATGGAAACCCTTGAGGCCCAACCAGTTTATTGTGGATGCTGGAGGAGGGTGGGGGACACTCAGGGAACTGTGACTTGAAGACACCTTGCATTCCTGACTTTGCTATATTTAAAAGCAGTCTCCCAGTCTGAGGGCAGCAGCCCAGCACAGTGGCAGCCACCAGCTCTGTTTTCCTGTCTTCCCTATTCGTCCTCTGCAAAGCCAAGCTGCCTCTGTCACTGTTGTTTGATATTTCCAAATCTGGCCTGAAGCAGATGATGGGGCCGCAGGAGGAGCGTCCTTCAGGGTGTCTTGTTTGGTTTGGAAATATTTAAATGTCTGCTGCATTTCCTCCAAGAGAGGAGAAGCCAGGGCCTGTGGGAGAGCCCAGGACCGTGGCCACAGCCCTGCAGGGTCCCCAGCTCCTCTGCGGCTGCCTCCCTGGGACCGGATCCCCAGTGCCCCCCACCCACACTCCCACCGTCAGCACCATGAGAAAGTCAAGATGAGCCCAGACATTCTCCACCACGTGTTTACAGTCAAGTGACTCAGCTCTGCCCTCGATTTAAGCCCATGCAGCAATTGTCCATGATTACAGAAAACTTCTTGGCTCCTGGAAAGATCGCCAGCACGTTATTAACCTCAGAGGCCAGACACATGTTTTCCATGATTTATTTAAATGCTAGTGGCCACCACAGATGATCACGGCCTTTTGGAATAAAGGGCGTGTAATTAAGACATAATCTCTTCTGTTTTGTAATATATGGAGCAGTAAATGGCTACTGAGGTTGATTAAATTCTCCATCTTCCCTTTGGCGCTTGGGAACTGCCAGAGCTGTTGGAATCCCAATCGTGGCTGTGACCACTTCATAGCACATGGCAGTGTGGTCGAACAGCCAAAGGCTGTCCTTCGGGGACCTGGGCGCCTGATGTGGGTGGATCTGAGATTTACAATAGCACTCACCTGGGAGTGCAGCTGCCTTGACGGGGCAAGGGAAAGCAGGGAGGGACAGTGATTCACTGGTAGGGGGTGGGCTTTGTACAGGCAAAAGACTGAGCAGGGCAAGGGCGTGCCGTCAAAGGAGATTGAACCGTGTAAACGCACAGCTCCCCATCAACGCTTCCTGCGTCGGGCTCAAGCCAGCGTTGTGGAAAAAAAGCATAGCATGGTTTTTTCACGTTGTCAAGAGCGTTCTGAGGCCTGCCCTTGACACTTGGCCGGGCGCAGTGGCTCACGCCTGTAATCCCAGCACTTTGGGAGGCCGAGGCAGGTGGATCACGAGTTCAGCAGATCAAGACGATCTTGGCTAACACGGTGAAATCCCGTCTCTACTAAAAATACAAAAAAATTAGCCGGGCGTGGTGGCGGGCGCCTGTAGTCCCAGCTACTCAGGAGGCTGAGGCAGGAGAATGGCATGAACACCCGGGAGACAGAGGTTGCAGTGAGCGGAGATCATGCCCCACTGCACCCCAGCTTGGGTGACAGAGCAAGACTCCATCAAAAAAAAAACAAAACTGAACACTTTTCACTTTGGACCTCTCCATTGTGAGGGAAGATCCAACAGCTGCACATTTATCTGTGCAGAGTCGAGAGGTGGGCTGTGGCCGATCATCTGAGGGTGTGGATTTGCTATTTTTTGGCAAATTTGAGTCTACGTACTGAGGTTCCTGCCAGAGAATAGAATCTTAAGCTCTGCTGCCTGGGTCTTATCACAAAGCTGATTTTTAAGAAATATTGTAACATCCATGAAAGAGTATCCAAAGACATGTACCATCTATTCAAAATCCTGTCTGTAGCTCCCAAGCCCACAAAAGGGCCAAGTACTCAGGGAAGAATTTTTGGTGGACACAGTTACCCCCTCTGAGTCCAACCTGGGCCTGAGCCTGAGCCCACGTTGAGAGACATTACAGAGATGGCTATCTGATGCTCACTGGCATATTGGAGGAGGCCTAGTCATCTCTACAATGTCCCCGTGTGCGCCCTTAGGCACCAGGTCCTGTGCGTCTCCCTCGCCCCCGACTTCCTCTCTGCTGTTAAATGTATCTCCGCAAGCTGCCTCAACCTTCTTTCTTTTTTTTCCCTCCTTATCTTAGAAAGCTTGTGTGTCAGTCTTTAATTTTTTCAATTTGTTATTTTATGTTTGAAATTGTATCCTATTTTTAATAAATACATGCATATTGTAGATATGCAATGGTTTATATGCACGAACACGGAGAGTGAAATCAAATCTCCCTTCCTCCATCACAGAGGCAATCTATTTTGTCTCTTGTGATTCCTTCTGAGATTCTACAGGTATACAAGCCTATATACGTAAATGAATTTAACTTCTTTATTCTTTCCTTTTTTACTCTGATGCACTTACTGATAAGGCCTTAGATGCCTTATTGAAAAGAGCCGTGAATTTTCTTGAATACACACAGCATACACAGATCGCTTCTGCCTGTCTAGAAATGGTTAACACTCTTTCTGCTGAACTGTTACCCAAACAAGATTCCAACTCTAAAAGAAAGGAGAGGAACATGAAGCAAAGGAAGCCCCATGGCCCCCGGAGCCTCCCACGGTTGCAGATCACAAAAGCAATTGCCTCTCTGAAAGCGTGGTGGTTTTGAATAGGAGCAGAGGAAGCGCAAGGACACTGGCAGCCTGGTGTGTTCCCTCGGGCTGCCCCCCTTTCGGCCTCGGGCCCCTTAGAGCAGAGCAGAGATCTGTGCAGCCCCCGTCCATGCGGTGGAAGGGGAATGCACCATGGGAGGGAAACCTCAAGTCATGGGTTTTGGAGCTTCAAACACGATCTCTGTGGCTTTGGGTTTTCTTACGAGAATCAGAGAAATAAATACACTTTATTTATATGCAGATGCAGAAACCATTGAACTGCGTTAGAAAATGGCAATCTCCGGAGGGTGTGGGAGGGGAGGCAACAGCACGGCCTGTGTGCCCAGGGTGCCAGCGGAGCCCCGAGTCATCACGGTGACTGTTCCAGGAGCGCGTCAGCAGCCCTCACTCTACCCTTTGAGAAGATAACAAGCAAATCGGCCCAGGTTTGAGGAGAGAAGAGCTTCAAGTCTCCTAGCCTGGGCGGCCAAGGCACCCAGGTCTCAGGAAAGTCGACTGCCTGGAAGTGGAGATAGGACCCTGTTGTCTAACCTGGGGGGCTTGTGCTTGGCTGAAAACAGGTGGTTCCCATGTCGGAGCTGATGGGGAGCGGATGGGGGTAGGAGTGCGAAGAACCCAAGCCCTCCAACATGGTAGCCATTCGCACACATTATCTCATTCGGGCTTCCCTCACCCTTCTCAGATAGGGCTCGTGGTATTTACATTTTTTAAAAAAAGGAAATGAGGTGGCCGGGCGCGGTGGCTCACGCCTGTAATCCCAGCATTTTGGGAGGCCGAGGCGGGCGGATCACAAGGTCAGGAGATCGAGACCATCCTGGCTAACACGGTGAAACCCTGTCTCTACTAAAAATACAAAAAATTAGTCGGGTGTGGTGGTGGGCGCCTGTAGTCCCAGCTACTCAGGAGGCTGAGGCAGGAGAATCACTTGAACCCAGGAGGCAGAGGTCACAGTGAGCTGAGATCGCGCCATTGCACTCCAGCCTGGCGACAGAGCGAGACTCCGCCTCTAAATAAATAAATAAATAAATAAATAAATAAATAAATAAAAAATGGAAATGAGGCTAAGAAAGATGAAGGAACTTGCCCAGAAGAGATAGGGTTGGTTCCCAAAGGAACAGGAGAGGGAAGCATGTTCCATGCTTTGATTTTGAAAGTGAGTCCCTGCCCTTCAGGGATCCAGAGAGGAAACACAGTTTTTCAGACTTCCAAGTCCCTTTGGAGATCTTTGATGAAAAATTCTGAACCGTTCCGGCAAAATCAAAAGATCTCAGAGGGTTGACAACAGCAGTTCTCAACTGGGATGGTTTTGCCCACCAGGGGACATTTGGCAATGCTGAGACAGTTTTGACTGTGGCACTGCAGAAGAGGGTGGTTGCTACTGGCATCTTGGATCTAAAGGCCAGGGATGTTGCTAAACATCCCCCGGTGCACAGGACAGCCATAAAAACAATAGTTTGCCCAAAACGGCATAGAGGTTGGCAGAGGTAGAGAAGCTCTGGTTTATGGCCATTAAAAAGTCAAATCTTATAACTGTTTCAACACATTTTAAGAAGTGTTGACCAAGCAAGGTGGCTTATACCTATTGTCCCAGCACTTTGGGAGGTTGAGGCAAGAGGATTCCTTAAGCCCAGGAGTTCAAGACCAGCCTGGGCAACATAGTGAGACTCTTGTCTCTACAAAAATAAAAATAAAAAAAGTAGTTGGGCATGGTAGCACATGCCTGTAGTCCCAGCTACTCCAGGTAGGGAAGATGCTGAGGTGGGAGGATCACTAGAGCCAGGGAGGTCAAGGCTGCAGTGAGCAGTGATCGAGCCACTGCACTCCAGCCTGAGTGACAGAGTAAGACCTTGTCTCAAAAAAAAAAAAAATTTTTTTTTTTTTTTTTTAAAGAAGTGCTGTAGGCTGGGCGTGGTGGCTCATGCCTGTAATCCCAGAACTTTGGGAGGCAGACACAAGAGAATTGTTTGAGGCCAGGAGTTCGAGACCAGCCTGGGCAACACAGTGAGACCCCATTTCTAAAAAAAGAAAATTAAAATTAGCTGGGCATGGTGGCACACACCTGTAGTCCTAGCTACTTAGAAGGCTGAGATGGGAGGATTGCTTGTGCCTGGGAGGTCAAGCTGCAGTGAGCTATGATCATGCCACTGCACTCCAGACTGGACGACAGAGCAAGCCCCTGTCTCAAAAAAAAAAAAAAATTATAAATCTTTAAGGAGAAAATGCATCCTGTGTCCACCTTGGATTCCATGAATTAAATTTCCTGTGTCTCTTGGTGAAAGGTGTGCTCCTGCCAGCTCCTGTCATTGGAGACCTTATTGCCCAAATAAGTATATTCTCAGTGACATCTACCTACAGAAAAAAAAAAATCCTTGTTTTGCTACAAATGTGTACCACATGCCAACAGTGGAGTTCCACGTGAATATGGATGCCAGCTGGCCATGATCTGAGCCATTCAGCAAGAGAAGCGATGGGAGACCCGCATGACAGGGCACTGCTCCTGTGGGAAGCATGCCGACTTCAAAACACTGAAAACTCCAATGATAGCAATTGTTTGGGACTCGATGAAATGATGTTTCCAGAGCTCTCTGGGTTTACTGTACATTTTGACATCACTTCCCCATGGCAGCTAGTTTATCGTCATTCCACATCCATCCCAGACGCAGATGCTGCTCCAGGTGAACAAACCCACAGGGACTCAGGAGGAATCCCAGCAAGTGACGGCTCATCCTGCCCCAGATGAAAAAGGAGATGTTCGTAACGCAGCTGCTTCCCACCTCGCACTTCGGGGCATTCTTACATCTGGCAACGCTAGAAGCCGCAAGTCAAACACAGAATAACTCAACTAGCTCACAAAGAAATGACCAAGAAAGCCTCTGGCAATGTAATCACTACCTTTTCGCTCCTCTTCCTCTCACTGTTCCATTCTAAAATTTTCACAGATTCTCAAAGTGCAATTTGACTAAGAAGGATATACACAGACTAATCCTTAAGGCAACAACATAAGCTTCTCCAAAGCTATTTTTCTTTAATGTTATAAAAATTTTTGAAACAACGTTAAATAAAATCTGGAAAAAAAAAAAAAAAAACCTAGATCACCCCTAATCCCACATTTCCGGGAATTTAAACAGGAGACTTGGAAGGAGCAAGGAGCGGGAGGTGGGCCTGCAAAGCACAGCAGGCCCGGCCGACGCAGCTCCCTCCGTCACAGCCTGCTGTGGACATGCAGGGTAACTACAAAAATTTTCCAGCAGTCTAGATTCTTATGCAAAATCTCCTGCTTTTTAAATATTGGCTCATAGTTTATAAGCACCGTGCCAGCTAATTAAAACACATCTGCAGATTGGATACAAATGACAGGCCACCGTTTGAAACCCTTCATATATAATTTTGCATCCAAACAAGAGTGAACAGAAGAAATTGATGTGACTCTATATATTTTACACTTTTAATAATCAGAGCATATTTGAAGAAACATTCTCAAGAATCTTAATGGGTTTCAGCTTTTGAACATATTAAGAGGATACTGAAGTAATAATGTAGCTAAAGAAAAGATGTTCGTGAATCAAAACTCCTTACTACGTATTTTTACCAGGAAAACATGTCTCGATCCACCATAGATACATGCACAGAATTATAAATTTATCTTTAACAAGAGGACCTACTAGAAATGCAAATGTATATTAGCCGAGGGTGAAATTGAGAAGATTCTTGGGCAAGCATGAAGTCACTATAACACTATAGGGTAGGGATCCTGGTGCAAACACAACTGAAAAGAATACCTTTGAAGATTATTAGATTATGAGGAATAACAAAAATCCCCTTTCAATGCTCAAGACACAGGAATTAAGTTGTAGCCCATTTCAGAAGTGAATGTAACTATCAAGTAACTGTGTTGCACACTCACTTCTGCAAAGAGATTTCATTTTCACTGCAGGGGAACAAGCTTGGCCATTTCAGGCACACACAGCAGAGGGTATCTGCCATAGCATGGAGTTCTAAGTTTATTTGTTCATAACTCAGGTTCACTCAGAAACTACTGTTTACCTGCTCATTACTCTTTGTGCATCCTTGATGTTTTAAACCCAGGGAATATAGAGATGAACACAATAGATAGGGCACGTGATCTGGCAGAGAAGAAGTGAAATAAAGACAAGTGTCCAAATACTTGGATAAGTCTGAAAAAGTGGTAAGTGCAAAGAAGGCACCAAGCAACCTATAGAAATGCCTATGCATCTGTCTGCACAAGCAGCCTAGAAATAAGTGGAAAAAAAAAAAATCAGGACAACCAACCATGGGGGCTGGCACTGTGACGTGCACCACTCCACAGCCCAGGACTCCCGTCTGTGGCAGTAAAGGCAGACGGTTTCTTCAGCGGGAGAGCCTTGAGAGTATGAAGGTAAGTGCCTCATTGTTAATTATTTACATGCTGCCATTAAAATCAATTACTCCATTTGAAAGAAGCCACTCATAACCACATCAAAACAGATTCAGGATACCCTAATCAGAGGATATCAGCGACCATCCCTTCCCGTAGCAATGACATTGCAGGTTGAGGGTGAAGAGGCAGAGTGACCATGACTCTTGCTGCTGGGCCGGTTAAGTCCCAACAGAGACTGGTATTTTAGAATAGACAGCTAGTCCTGAGCGGGCCTTGGAGGTCATCCCCCACCCCCAAACTCTAGGATGAGGCAACCTCCATCCAACCCCGATGATTAAGTACCTGTTCTCCTGAGGCAATTCCCTCTTGAGCTTATGATCTATCATCACCAGGATGATTTGCTATTGAAGACACACGGACAGCTAACCCTTGAATGTAAAACAGGAGCATACTCAAATAGAGATTTATTTTTGTGTCCTCCTGTGCATGCTTTGAGCTGGGGATAGTCAATGAGGTGCTACCGAGTGTTGGGCCATAAAGCCTCCTCACGCTAACTCCAGGCATGTGAAGGACTGAAACGTGAAGCTCTTTCTGTAATTCCCCTCCTTCTTCTTCATGAATGGAGGCGAGAATTAGGCTGTGTGGTTTTCACAGCCAATGCTGATCTTAAACAAGAATCTGGCTGTTTCCTCCCCGGGCTGTTTCCTGGCCAGTCACAATATGATCCTAACAGGGCTGCCAGAGACCATGCAGATGACCGCTTCTCAGGGGCTCCTTCCCCACAGCCACAGCACAGCTATGGAGCTATAAGAAAGCTGAGGACACAGCAGCTGAACATCGGCAACATTCGAGTCCCTTCCATGAAGCTAGAGAGAGGTGGCATCCATGACAGGAAAAACCCAGGCGCTGAAGACTGAAGACTTGACTGTCCCTATTCCTCACCATACCATGGGGACAAAACAGACCAGAGAAGATTCAAGAAGACACTTCAGGCCAGGTGCTCCTAACCACTCCCGTTACACGGCAAATGCCCGATGCGTTGGGCCGTGAAGACCATTCCTACTCAGCCCTCCCTGGCTAATCACTTCATTTTTCTGAGTCTTTCTTCATTAAAAGCAAAGACATTGGGCCAGGTCCTCTCTAAATGTCTTCCTGGCTCTAAAACTCTATAACTTGAGGACAAGAGCCTATTTCAAGGGCTTTCAGAACAGAAATCTCTTTTGAAATTGCAGAGGCCCAATTCCCCGCGAGGATCTCAAGCTGCAGAATGAAATGGGCGAGTGTGATTCAAACAAACTCATGGGATGCCAGGATCTAGCACAACCCCTGACTCATGTGGGCGCATAAAGCATCTCAGCCAACTCAGATCACAGAAAGCATCTACTGGTCCTACATTCACCAGGCAAGAAAAATGAGTAATTCGTAATTTGTCACACTTACATAAATAATCGTTTTTACTTTTATAATCGTTGCCATACTCTAACACATGCTAGATACCACAGTGAGTGATTTATATATGTTTTCTTGAATCCTTCCGATAATTACATCAAGCAGATTTTTATAGATAGGGAAACAAGGCTCAGAAAGGGCAAGTGACTTGCCCAAGGTCACACAGCTATTACCTTCATGCTCAGTAGTGCAGCCTGGATTTGCACCCACGTCTGCAGGCTCCAAAGTCACTCTCTTTTCACCATGTCACGGGTCTCAAGGGTCTGTTGAATGTTTTTACAGGAGGAATTTTTACTAAAGTTCACAAAACAACAATGCACTAGCCACTTTCATCAGTCGCTTCCCAGGAGTGGGTGTGGGTGACGGGGACCTTGTGCCATGAGCCGCACGGGCTGACCCATCACATGGAGGCAGCCGTGGTCAGCAGGGAGACACAGCCCCTGGGGGAGTCATCACCCATGAAGGTGAACAGGGAGGCTGTTGATGCTGACTGCAGTGAGGAAAAGCCACTCTCAAATTTCTACCCCATGCAATTTCTCATGGTTGGAAAAACCAAGGCTGCCAGTACCATCCACCACCAAGGAGGAAAGAGCCCGAGGCCTGTGAGGCTGGGCCACCCACAGGATGGCCTAATCAGGACCAGGCTTCCCAGCACGGAGGACACGGGGGCGCCTGACAAAGAAATCACCTCTGTGAAATGCCTTCCACGCCTCCCCTCTGAGCCGAAGCCCAAGGCAACCCCAGGAGCAGGGAGCGAGCTGCTGGGGGAATGCACCGGGGCGCCGCCTGCGGGGAGCTGCTGGGGGAATGCACGGGGCGCCGCCCCGGAGGCCTGCAGGTAACTCCCACCAGAGGCACAGAGCGCAGCCTTAGCCCCTACAGTCAGAGTCTCGCTTTCGGCCAGGCCAGGTGGATCTCACGCCTGTAATCTCAGCCCTTTGGGAGGCGGAAGTGGGCAGATCACTTGAGGCCAGAGTTCAAGACGAGCCTGGTCAACATGGTGAAATCCCATCTCTAGTAAAAAAACAAACAACAACAAAAACAAACAAACAAAAATCTTGCTTTTCTTCCCCCGTGCTAACCTCTGGCTCTGCACTGCTGTCACTCCACTCTCCCGGCCCAAGGTCATTATTCGACTCTTCTATAAACTCCTAAATGACCAGATCTTTACAGAACACCCACTGTGTCCCTGTCAGGGCTTCCGCCCCCTGAGGAGGTGTCCCCTAGCTGGGTCTTTCAGGGGAAGTGACAGAGGCTCAGAGAGGCAGCGAATTTGCCCAGGGCCACAAAGCAAGCGAGTGGCAGGACTGGGCATCTAGCCCATGACCGTGGGCCACGTCTGGCTGTCTCTCTTCTAGACCAAGGGAGAACAGACCCAAACACACGAAAAGCTAAACAATAGAAAGGACAATTCTAACAGGCCGAGGCCTGGCCTAGTGCTCCCCAAGAGTCCTGTGAGGCTGGGCGCCCAGCAGCAGATGGGACTCAGGGACTGGGGTGCCAGCGGGCATTGGAACAGTTTGCTTTTTAGAGAAGGAGCCTCTATCTTGCTTTTTGGGCCCCTTGGTCTTGCGGACAAAGTCCTGTTGCTCTGAGTTGGAGAATGCACAGGTGTTCCTTCTCCCGGCTACCTCCCGCCTGCTGTGCTTCCCTTCCAGGACCACTGCTGGGTCTGCCTCCAGTGCCCTGCCCCACCTGTTTCCCTCAATGTGGCCTCTCATGTCCTCAGAGGCTCAAATACCCGGCGTCTCTGCCTTCTTGGGGGGCCTCCGTGATCCCACTCTCCCTGTGCGCATCCTCCTCCCCTACCTTGCCGTCATTCGTCACAGCAGCCTCCTGTCTCTTCTCGCACTCCTCACCTCCAGCCACGCACGCGCGTTTCCCTTGGAAACTTCCTTCACACACCCAAACCTCCATGTCCCAGCTCCAACTGCATTGCAGACGTGATGTGCCTCACACAGGTGAGTGTGGAAATGCCCCCTAACCGTCTCTTCTGTGCTGATTCGATCTCACTTAGACCGTTAGGTAATTTGATTACAGAGATTTTGTGTGTGTGTGTGTGTGTGTGTGTTTTTATTATTATTATTATTTTGGTAGAGACAGGGGTCTCGCTTTGTTGCTCAGGCTGGTCTCAAAATCCCGCCTCGAACGATCCTCCGACTATTACGTAATTTGATTGCAGAGATTTTGTGTGTGTCGTTTTTTGTTTGGTTGTTTGTTTGTTTTTTGAGATGGATTCTTGCTCTGTCTCTCAGCCTGGAGTGCAATGGCACAATCTCGGCTCACTGCAAACTCCATCCTCCAGGTTCAAGCAATTCTCCTGCCTCAGCCTCCAGAGTAGCTGGGATTACAGGCACCTGCCACCACGCCCAGCTAATTTTCTATTTTTAGTAGATACCGGGTTTTGCCATGTTGGCCAGGCTGGTCTCAAACTCCTGACCTCAGGTGATCCGCCCGCCTTGGCCTCCCAAAGTGCTGGGATTACAGGCGGGAGCCACCATACCCAGCCGTTTTTTTTTTTTTTTTTTTTTTTGGTAGAGACAGTGGTGTCACTTTGTTGCCCAGGCTGGTCTTAACTCCTGCCTCAAGGAATCCTCTGGCCTCACCTCCCAAAGTACTGGGATTATAGGTGTGAGCCAGCATGCCAGGCCTTGTGTTTTATATGTTTTAACAATTCCTCCATGGTGCTCAGTGCCTAGTAACTACAACTAACTAGTAGGCAATTATGTCAGGCTGCCCTGAGCCAGTTTCTACCAAATTCTGTCCTCACATACACACACATTGATTAGCCAGTCTTCCTGTAGATTGATGAGGTCCCTGCGTTCTGCCCTTCCAGACATGTGAGCTGGCACCATGAAGGGAAGGACGCTCTGAGGCCTGGCAGCACATGGACTAACTCTCCAGCGGCATCCGGAATCCCTGTGAGGCTGGGGGTCTCGGGACGCCCGGGCCAGCCAGAGGCTAGGCTGGGAGTGCTCTTGCCAGGTGTGAGGCCCCGGGCTCGCCTCGTGCTCTGTCCTTTCTGCTGCCCATAGGACTTTTGTGGTTAACACGCACTTGACCACCATTCAATTGACCAGGGAAACTAGTTTTTAACAATCTTTATTGCTAAATAACAAGCTCTCAGGCGCAGATGTAGATGGTGCCGTTTGAAAGGCTTGCTGTAGAACAGGACCATGCAAGGTTTTTCTGTGAAGAATCAGCTAGTGAGGAGTTTCGCTTTGCAGGACATGTGGTCTGTGTTGCAACCAGCCAACTTTACCACTGCGGAGGAAAAGCAGTCTTAGACAATATG
This sequence comes from Homo sapiens, assembly GCF_000001405.40. NCBI lineage: Eukaryota > Metazoa > Chordata > Mammalia > Primates > Hominidae > Homo > Homo sapiens. Next base: position 1,419,042 of record NC_000006.12, read on the forward strand.
TAAATAATTGGCCTGTTTGCATTCCAACAAAATGCTGTTTACAAAAGTGGGCCTGCCAGCCCTGCTCTAGAGGGTAGATTCTTGATTGAGATCCTTCCAAAGTGAACCAATGCAAACTGCTGATTAGGGCACTTCAAATGTTGACTATCAGCCCTAGAGTGTAGCTTTCAGGTATCTATACCTACATATCACAATGGGAATACTGCAGAATACTGAATAAACAACAGACAATACTATGGTGACAGAATATTAATAGATGCCATTTATTGAGTATTTACTATATGCTAGCTGAAGCACTGTAGGGGACTTGCTGTTTTAAACTGCTCAGCAAGCTAGGCGCGGTGGTTCATGCCTGCAATCCCAGTACTTTGGGAGGCTGAGGCAGGAAGGATCCTTTGAGCCAGGAGTTCAAGGTTGCAGTGACGGAGCCACTGCACTTCAACCTGGCTGGCAGCGTGGGACTTTGTTTCCTAAAAATAAAAAAATTGAAATAGTAATTAAAAAATAAACTGCACACCAATTGCACAATAATAGTAGTACCTGAAATAGGTGCTATTATTATTATTCCTACTTTACAGATGACAAAACTGAGGCTTAGGTGAGGACAACTGGCTTGCCCAGCATTGAAGAGTCAGGAGGGGTCACACTGGACAGATGGGCTCCAAGTCCACACTCAGGCTGCCCCCATTGGCAAATGAAAACCAGAGTCTTCATCTGTCCCGCCCCACACCTGCTGTGGGACTCTGGGCATATCATGCTGAATCTCAGTCTCCTCATCTCCAAAATGGGGGTGATGATTGCTCCTTTTGGGAGCTTTCGAGTGTATTATACAATACATGTGAAAATGTCCACCACAAAGCCAGGCAGTTGGTGTCAAGTACAAGCGAACTGAAATGTAACAGGTTTGCTGAAATATACAGTCAGCCCCCCTTATCCGTGGTTTCAATTACCCATGGTCAGCCACAGCCTGAAAATAGGTGAGTACAGTACAATAAGCTGTTGTTGGGGGGAGTGGGGAGAGACCATATGCATGTAACTTTTATTGCAGTATGTTGTTATAACTGTTCTATTTTATTGAGTAGTTGTTAATCTCTTGCTATGCCTAATTTATAAATTAAATTGTATCATAGGTATGTATCACAAAAAACATAGTATATATAGGGTCCTGTACTATCCTCAGTTTCAGGCGTCCACTAGGGGTTTTGGAACATGTCCCGATGGATGAGAGGGACCTACTGTAATCACCTACCAGAGAAAGTATCTAACTCAGTGATTGTTAGTATTTTCAGAATTCTGCAACCATAACCACAATCAATTTTAGAACACCATCATCACCCCAAAAGTGTTCCCTTTAACAGTGACTCCCCAGATCACCCCAACATCTCAACCCCAGCCCCAGGCAACACTTTCTGTCTCTGTGGATTTGTCTATTCTGGACCATTCTATGTGGGATGAAATCATACAATGTGTGGGCTTTGGGGTCTGACTTAGTTCATTTAGCATAATGTTTTCAAGGTTTGTTCATGCTGTAGCGTGCATCAGTACTTCACTTTTGTTTATTGCCATATAATATTCCATTGTATGGATATACCATATTTTATTTATCCATTCATCAGTTGTTGAACATTTGGGTTGTTTATACCTTTTGGCTATTGTAAGCAATGCTGCTATAAATGTTCATGTACAAGTTTTTGTATGGACACCTATTTTCACAGCTCTTGGGTATATGGCTAAGATTGGAATTGCTGGGTCATATGGTTACTCTATGTTTAATCTTCTGAGGAATGGTCAGTTTTTCGAAAAATGGCTACACCATTTTACATTCCTACTAGAAATATATGAGAGCACTGATTTCCTCACATCTTTTCCAACACTTCTTATTATCTTTTTGCTTATAGCCACCTAGTTAGTGTAAAGCAACATCTTATTGTGCTTTTGATTTGCATTTCCCCAATGGCTAATAACATTGAGCATCTTATTGGCTATTTGTATATCTTCTTTGAAGAAATGTCTATTTAGATGCTTTGCCCATTTTTAATTATTTATCTTCCTACTGTTAAGTTGTTCTTTATATATTCTGGCTACAAGATTCTTTTTATATACACAGCTTGAAAATATTTTCTCCTATGCTGTGGGTTGCCTCTTTACTTTGTTGGAGATATCATTTGCAGCACAAAAGTTTTTTATTTTGATGAAGTCCAATTCATCTATTATCTTTTCTCAGTTATGCTTTTTGAGTCACAGCTAAGGAGGCTTTGCCTCACCAAGAGCACAAGATTTACACCTGTTTTCTTCTAAGAGTTTTATAGTTTTAGCTCTTACATTTAGGTCTTTGATTCATTTCCTAAATATGGTGTGAGGTAGGGGTCCAACCCTATTCTTTTGCACCATTTGATGAAAAGGCTATTCTCTTATGGCATTGGCCATAATGTAAAATCTGATTTCTGGACTCTCAATTTAGTCCCATTGGACTACATATTTGTCCTTATGCCAGTACCACACTGTCTTGATTACTGTAACTTTGTAGTAAGTTTTGAAATTGGGAAGTCTGAATCCTCCAACTTTGTTCTTCTTTTTCAATAATGTTTAGCTATCCTGAGTCAGTCCTTGAATTTCTATATAAATTTCAGGATTAGCATGTTAATTTACATAACAAAGCAAGCTAGGATATTGATAGGGATTACATTTAATCTGTACATCAATTTAGGGACTATTGCCATCTTAACAGTAAGAAGTTTTCTGATTCATGAATATGAGATACCTTTCTATAGATTTAGGTCTTTCATTTTTTTCAACAATGTATTATAGTTTTAAGAGTAAAAAGCTTTGCACTTCTTAAATTTATTCCTAGGTATTTGATTCTTCTTGATACCCATGTAACTGAAATCGTTTTATCAGTCTCATTTTCAGATTATTTATATATTATTTATTATTTAATAATAGCAATAAATATATAAATATGTATATCTTTATATTCTATATTATATATCATATTTATAATTTATATTATACATTAATGTAATATACCATATCTTAATCTAATGTATTATATATTATTATAATTTATTGATGTATTATTATATATTTATAGTAAATATTTATATAAGTATATAAATATTATTTATATATTTATTGCTATTAGAAATATAATTGATTTTTTATATTGATATATTGCCCTACAATGTTGCCTAAATTTCCATTTTTACAAAAAAATGCTGAAGGGAAGTAAACTATACTATCAGGAGGCTAAGAAATAATTTCATTTTTATAATAAAAAAAGGAGTTCTGGTTCTCAGTGGGGATTGCTCAGCAGAAATCTTTCCCTGTCCTGTTGGAGCCCTGCTGCAGCAGGAGAAATAGAAAGTTCAGTCACTTATTTGTTTATGTACTAAAAAGTATTTATTGAGTGCCCACTAGGAGCCAGTCAGCTTGGGTTTAAATACTTGCTCTGCCGCTCAGTAGCTGTGTCACCCAGTAGCTGTGTCACCCAGTAGCTGTGTTACCCAGGGCAAGTTACTGAACCTGCTGGTGACTCTGTTTTCTCACCTAGAAAATGGGGGTAATTGTATCTACCTCCTAAGTTTTTTGTGAGGGTAAATTAACCCTTTAAACAGTGCCCAGCTGGTGATAAGCACTTTTTAGGTATTAGCTATTGTTTGTATTATGGACAGGCCCTGGATACAACATGAACGAAGACCAAATCCCTGCACTCAGGGAGCTTGATTTTAATGGCAGGGCAGGGGTAGTTAGGAGGGGAAACAGTCAAAGAGATAAAGCAGCAACGATGCCAAGTGCTGATAAAAGAGGGAAAGAAAAATAGAGCAAAGGAAGCGGGGAGGGAGTGCAGAGGGGGAGGGTGGCGCCAGACATTTCAGGTGGGCGCAGGTTAGACTTCTCAGACTGGTGACATCCGGGCAGGAAGCCGGCCAGGAGCAGGACATGTCAGAGGAAGGAGCTGTCCCTGTGAGGGACTGGAGCAGGGCAAATGAGGTGCGCTCCAGGAGCTGAAGTCGGTGGGGGCTGAGCGAGGGCCAAAGTGAAGGCAGAGGCACAGAGGGGCTGTGGGGTTCATGCAGGGCCTTGAGGTTAGGGAAAGAACTTTTTTTTCAGATGTAAATTCACTAGACAATTTATTCAAACTTTGGATTTGGCAGTAGGTTTCATAAAGTTTTTTCCTCCTGTATTTTGATAATAATTATACATATTTATGGGGTACAGTGTGATACTGCGATGCACGTTTACAATGCATAATGACCAAATCCGGGTAATTAGCAAATTCATCTCCAGACATGTATCATTTCTCGGTGTTCTGAACATTCAAAATCCTCACTTCTAGCTTTTTGAAATATACAATAAATTAGTGCTGACCACATTCACCCTACAGTCCTGCCCCAAGGCAGAACTCTCTCCTCCTATCCAGCTGTAATTTGGGATCCATTACCCAGCCTTACCCCACCCTCCCTACCTCTCCCCACCCTCCCTACCTCTCCCCGTCCCAGCTCTAATACTCAGGGAAATAACTACCTTTTATATGCACCGGACTTTCCCACCAGAGAGGTGGGCCGGTTATCTCGCCACATAACAAACCACACCAA